>NC_000002.12:58069140-58372170 GCF_000001405.40 Homo sapiens | reverse complement strand
ATTTGCCTTTATATTTGAAATTTTTCATAGTAAAAATTTGTTTAGGCTACTCAATTTGAAAATTAGTAAATTATTCTTCAGCAAAATTTCAACTGTGTGTGGGGGTTGAGGACACAAAAGCCAGAGTGCAACACGTTTAAGGAGTAAATTTGCAAAATGCTGAAGGGCAGGCCATGAGTGTAGATTCATCTTTACACAGAGCAGCTAAAGAAGGAGAGAAGTAGAATGGCAAAAGAAGTGAAGAGCAAGGTTGAGAGAACATGTGTGTGCATGTGTTATGTATTTGTGTATGTATCTGTGTGTGCATGTTTGTGTTTGTGTTTGTGTTTGTGTGTTTTAGGCTAACTGAGCCAAGCATTAAACGTTCTGAAAGGTTTAAAAAAATCTAGTAAAGAGTAAAAACCCTATTATTTATTTTTATTTGTATTATTATACTTTAAGTTCTAGGGTACATGCACACAACGTACACATAGGTATACATGTGCTATGTTGGTTTGTGGCACCCATCAACTCGTCATTTACATTAAAAAAACCTATTGTTTTCTAACATATCTAGATTTAGAGTTTTTTAGTTTATTCAGAGTCTAATCGTTTTCTCCTATGTTTACAGAAATCAAGCAAACATAATAGACTTAAAGCTGGGAACATTTATGTTAGACCAAATTCAGATTTTTGGTCCAAATACATCTTCTCCAAAGCTACTTCCTCTCCCTGCACTTCCATGTCTATGGCAGGGTTCTATACGCTTGTAGGGTGATGGGCTCCCTGACTCCAGCTCTTTCTGGCTCCTACCAGCCTGCTCAGCTGTGCTTTCATCTTGTCATTTGCCCACAGAAAACCTCCCATGACTCCCACTGCCTTTGGAAGAGTAGGCAAATCACTGAGTCTTACTCCTGAAAGTTTTCTACTGCCTAACTCCAATTTTACTTTTAAATTTTTCCTCTATTTAATTTCTTATTATCTCCCAACACTTTGCTCTACCCAGTTATTCCACTTATTCTTTAGCTGACACACCTTATTTGTCCTTCCTTTCTATACTTCACTCTTGTTGCTACAGACCCAGCTTAAAAACACCTCCTAAAAGAAGCATTCTAGGGCAATGTCTGGTGATTTCTAGACTTTTCTCTTTCTCTGAATTTCTGTCAGACTTACTATGTAAAACACTCATGTAGCATTCCCTAACTTGTATTTTTATAATTCAAACAATTATTTGATGTAGCATATGATTATATATATAATAATATGAACAGAATAAAGATAAAAATCAAGTTAAAAATGACATAGAGAAAGATATATTTGAATCAAGAGCCAAGGGTTTCAGTAGCCCATAGTCATCTATTACCTTGTATTATTTTTCAGTGGTTCACATGCCTATATATTTGCCACTTTTACCAGGATATGTGATCCTTAAGGATCAAAGTGAATAAACACTATAATGGGATGCAAATTAAGCAGTTTGGCATTTTCTTAAGATCTTCAAAAAGAGAAAAGCCATCTGCCCTCATGATAGATGTTCCTCTCCTGAAGGCAGGAAAGCACTAAATGATCTTCAAGGTACTGTCTAGTTACAATTTTTAGTAATGGAACTACCTCTGCCAATAAAGTTCAATAGTGTGCTGATCACTACTGAGCAAAGTGTGGTCTCTGGACCCACAGCATTGGCATCATCTGGGAAATTGCTAGAAATGCAGAAGTGTAGGCCCCATCCAAGATCTACTGAATCAAAATCTTCATTTTATACGATTCCCCTGAATTATTTTGCACATTAAAGTTTGAAAAGCAGAATAATGTAGCTACCTCATATAAAATATATACTGCGTAAAAAACATTTCAATATTGTTAAGGAAAATATATTTTTGTTAAGAATATTAAGGATTATAGTTTACCACAGTATAAACTATTTAATTTCTGCTCTTTTAAAAATTAAGTGCATCCAAAATGTTCAGAATTTTCACTGGCAGTTGAAAAATGTAGCACCTAGGTATTTAATATGTATCTTTCATCACATCCATTGCTTTAAGAATATTTTAAGCATATATACTAGGTTTTTTTTTAATTAACAATACCCCAACATTTTGCTCCATCTTTTTCTTAACAATTCTAATCTACTCCTGGCAATCAAAAATGAAAGCAAGGTTTATTACTTGTTTTCTCGCCTTGTTTACCTATTGATAGCTTTAAATGCCAGCAGCTGTGCTTATTTCCTCACTTTGAGTTCATTAAGCTACAAAACAATAGCCATAGGATTATATTCTTAAAAAATTCCCTCTGGCATCAGAAAAAATAATTCTTGGTAATACAGTTTACGATTTCCTTGAAATTTCAACCTCACTCTAAAATGTTTTAAATTACCATCTTAAAAATCCCTGAGTAATGAGTTTTTATATAAAAAGTTGCTGATAGAAAAAGTATCACTGAAACATTAAAAAAACAGGATATACATTCTGAAACTTTAGTTCTTCCATGGTCTAATCTGGTTTTAGAAATTCTTCATAAGATGAGCCATCTAAAATTATACTCACTTATTCTTTACTTCTGTGTAAAAACTATTATTTACTAATGTGTTGGCACGCAAACTCTAGGCAGAAAATAGCCAGCGTAGGACAAAATAGAAAAAGATCTCTGACCTCATGAAGTTTAGATCCTACTGAGAAAAACCAAATAAAAATATAAATAAATATATAATTGCATATTGTGGTATGTTCTTTGAAAAAAAGAACAAAAAGTTGGGAGCCACGAGAGAGAGTTTGATGGAAATAGAATGCCTCTCTGAGGAAGTTACTTATAGGCTGCGGCCCAAAATATGAAGGGAGAATCAGAGAAAGGATGAAAGGATGAGTATTCCTGCACCCGCGGAGAGGAAGAAAAAGAAGCCCAGGTGACGAGGCAGAGCAAAACTGTGGAAGAGGGGCACAAGGTGAGGCGGGGAGGCAGCGGGCTAAATCATGCAGGGTTCTATAGTCCACAGTAGAGAGGCCTTTGAAAAGTGCTATGCAGAAATATATATTTATGCATATAATATATACTTTAAAACATAAGATGGAATAATTTAAATACATGCAAAATAAACTGAATATTATAATAAACCATTCTGTACCTATTATTGACCTTCAACAATTATTAACATTCTGCTATTTTTGTTTTACCTATACTATCCTTTATTCTCTACCCTTACTTGATTATTACTTTATATCTATTTTTAGGTAAAATTCATATTTTCTGAAGTGCACAAATCTCAACTATACAATTTTGACAAATTGATTCAAACATGTAACTCATAAAATACAGAATATCTTCATCGCCTAACAATTTTGAACAGCTTTATTGAGATATTACTCATAAAGCATACAATTCATTTATTTAAAGCATACAATTTAATGCCTTTTGGTATATTCATGCATTTTTATGATCATCACTGCAATCTAACTTGAAAATGTTTTTTGTTTTCCCCTCAAAAAATCCTCCATATTCATTAGCAGTCACTCCCCATTCCCCCTCCCCAAGCCCTAGGTAACTACTAACCTACTTTCTGTTTCTATAGGTTTGCCTATTCTAGAATTTCACATAAATAAAATTACACAATATTTGGCCTTTTGTGATTGGCTACTTTCATCTAGCATAATGATTTTAAGCTTCAGCTATGTTGTAGCATGTATCAGTACTTCAATTATTTGTATTGTTGAACATTAATTTGTTGTATGGATATACCACATTTATTTACCCATTTATCAGTTAATTGATGCTTGAGTTGTGTCTACATTTTAGCTATTATGAATAATGCCGCTATGAACTTTCAAGTACAAATTTTTATGCAGACATATATTTTTATATCTGTTCCATGTATACTGAGGAGTGCAACTGTTATGTCATATAGTAACTTTATATTTAACATTTTGGGAAACTGACATAACACTTTACAAAGTGGCTGCGCAGTTTTACATTCCTGTCCGCTGTTTACAAGTTCCAATTTCTCTACATTCTTGCTAACACTTCCTATTGTCTTTTTAATTATAGCCACCTTAAAGTGGTATAAAGTGGTATCTCATCTTGGTTTTGATGTTCATTTTCCTAATAATCAAGAATGTTGACATATTTTCATGTGCTTATCATTTCTTGATACATATTCTTTGGGGAAAGGTCAGTTAAAATCCTTTGCTCATTTTAAAATCTGTTTTTTTTTCATAATTGCATTTTAAGAGGTCTTTTTATATTCTAGGTACAAGTTCCTTAACAAATATATGATCTGCAAATATTTTCTCCCATTCTGTGGGCTGTCTTTCACTTCCTTTGTGGTATTATTTGCAGCACAAAAGCTTTTAATTTGACAAAGTTCAATTTAACTGTTTCTTCTTTATCACGTATGCTTTTCCTTGTCATATCTTAGAAATGAGTGCCTAACCAAATGTCATGGAGATTTATTCCCATATTTTCTTCTAAGATTTTTTATAGTTTTATCTCTCATATTTAGGTCAAAAATCCAGTTCGAGTGAATTTATCTGTGTGGTAGAAAGAATTCATCTAATTTCTTTTCTTTTCTTTTTCTTTTCTTTCTTTCTTTTTTTTTTTTGCATGAAGATTCTCAGTTGTCCCAGCATAATTTGTAGAAAAAATTATTCTTTCTCAATTGAATTTTCTTAGAAATATTGTCAAATAGCACTTGAGCATAAATTTGTGGGTTTATGTCTGGATTGTCTATTCAGTTCCATTTATGTATATGTCTCTTTTTTTTTATTCAGATACTTCTGTCTTGATTGCTGTTGCATCACCCAACAATTTGGATTTTTAAATGATCATCCCCCTCAGTCTTGTGTGAAATGGCTTGAAGGAGTCAAGAGTGTGAACAATCTGAATGATTAATATATAATTGAAATAGTTCCTGTGGAGAAATCATGGTGACTTGTATTGGTGTTGTTGTAAGGGGGAAAAGTGAACAGATGTATTTTGGAGATAGGTCTTGGAGCAGGATTGCATGTTGGAAGTGAGAAGTGGAGAGATAACAGAAATCACTCCTAGAAGTCTTGCTTAATCAATTAAGTGCATGGTAGAACCATTTACTGAGGTAGGGAAGATCAGGAAAGATATACATTTCTAGGGGGTGATCTGGAACTGGTTTTAAGATTAGACTCACAAAATGTCTTTTAGGTAGCCAATTAGGTATGCCGGTTATAGCCTTGTTTATAAAATTATTTATGTTTCTCAAAGTAGCCAAGCTCAGGGTTGGTTCTCCCTAGAAAACTGTTGCCCTAAATTTTAGCTTGTTCCTTCTCATTATTCAGATCCAGGACTTAAATGTTCACATTCCTACAAAGACTAGCCCTATTTCTCATGCCCTTTAAACTCCTGATCCCATTCTAGTTTTACTGTCACACTACCCTGTTTCTTTTCCTCAGCGCATTTATCACTATCTGAAATTATCTTATTTATTTTACTTTTTAACCTTTATATTTTACTGATACATAATAATTGAAATCATTTATTTTTGTTTACTGGGTTACTGTTTGCTTTCCTTAACTAGAATGTAGTTCTGTAAGAAAGGATCCTGTATCAGTTTTGTTCAGTCTGTATCCATGGAGAGATTACCTGGTGCTATGGGCTAAATTGTATCGCCTCACCACTCACATGGTGAAACCCTAACTCCCACCATGACAGCGTTTGAAGACCGAGTCTTTGGGAGGTAATTAAGTTTAAACGAGATCTGAGGGTAGGGTGCTCATGATGTGCTTCTTGCTGTGTCTTCATATGGTGGAGAGAGATGGAGGAAGCAAGCTTTCTGGTTTCTCTTCCTATAAGGGTACTAATTCATCAAGAAGGGCATCTGCCATCTGTAAGCCTGGAAGAGAGCCCTCACTAAGGAACTAAATCAGCTGGTATCTTGATCTGGGACTTCCCAAACTCCAGACTGTGAAAAATAAATTCCTATTGTTTAAGCTATCCAGTCTGTGGTATTTTGTTATGACACCTGGAATGGAGAAGATGCACCATATATATAAATACACATATATGTGAAGTTATATATATATAAATATATATGAAGTTATATATGTATATATAAATCTATATAATATATAATAAATAATAATATAAATGAAGTTCAGAGCTCAGAAGATTGAAGATTGGTCTGAGAAAGAAATAAAATTTGGAGGGTTTTCAACATTTTGATACTATCTATTTTTTAAAAATACATTTAGTTGTATATATTTAAGGTATACAATATGATATTATAAAAGATACATATATATGTATATATATATAGTAAAATGTTGACTATAGTGGAACAAGTTAACATATCCATCATCTCATGTAGTTACCCATTTTTGCCTTCCCCACTTCTCACGGCAAGAGCAGCTATAATCTACTCATTTAGCAAAAATCCTGAATATAATACACCATTATTAACTGTAGTCCTCTTGTTGTTAGATCTTTTGACTTGTTCATCATACATGTTTTCTATTTTGTCTCCTTTACCCACATCTTCCATTTTCTACGCTCCAAAACTCTGTCATTTTATTCTCCATCTCTTTATATTAGGCCTTTAAAAAAAGTGTCCATATACAAGTGAGGTCATGTTTTTTTCCTGTGTCAGGCTTATTTCACTTACTATAACATGCATGGCCCTAGAGGGCATTATCCTACATAGTATATAAAACTCAAGTGATGGATGAAATTAACTAAGAATGTAGAAAAAGAAGAAGGCCCAGAACAAATTGCCAAAGGAGTCTGAGAAGAAATAGCTAGAGGGTAGCAGAAAAATCAGGCAAGAATACAGTTTATTTCAAGAAGGACATAGTGTCAATAGTGCCACAATCTATTGAGAGGGCAAGTAAACTGCTGTCAGCTGGGTCATTAATTCATTAGATATTTACTGAACAGAAAGCCGGATTCCTGATGTGTGGGAAGATGCACAAAGTATAACTACAGGTGTTTGGTGGCTAAGTCACAGCAGTAAGGGTGAGCTCTAAAGAATACCGTAGATCCAGACAGAAGGTAGAGAGAAGGACTCTCGTTCATTCTCTCACTCATATATTCACTCATTCATATAACAAACAGTGTCTGAGTACTATTCCAAGAAAAAGAAACCATGTTAACACAGGTCCATGACTTTAGAATAGTCCAGGCTTTCCATTAGAACAAAGAGCAGCATACTGCTACCAGAGTTTTTGGCAAATCGTGTGCTTTAATTACTACTATAATTTCTTTTCTATGCAGAAAACAATGTATTTTTCTGGGGATAAGCAAAGAAAATGATTTATTGACACTGAAAAACTCATTAATGCAGTGCCTTTGCAGAAAACCACAGAGGACTAAATTCATTCAAGTAGTTTTGGATTACCTAATATGTATTTTGCATTAAACTTAACCTGATAGTGATATAAGTCATAGAAATTGTATGACAAGGTTGTAATTAGAGAACAGAGTGCTAAACAATGGCATATTGACCAGAAATATAATCCAATAAGTAATAATTAATTTAAACTCAAAATATAGTTTTCCCGAAAATGAAGGTGTTATCCAATAATACATCGTGAATCATCAGAGCCTCTTCCATCCTTCACCTTACTTAGCCTTTGCTAAAGATATAGTGATTTCTGTTCCTTTGTGTGGGATGAGAAAAATATGCCATGATTTTACTATATTTTTCACTAAGGATAGAAAAGAAAACACCTTGGAAAGGCTGTAATAGACTATCTGAGGCTGGAAGAGTTTTAACATTTACATAGAAAATGACTCCATTTTCCCTTGAAGGACAAAATCTGGCTATAAAAGGCCTCCTCTCTGAGCTTTGCCCAGGCCATGATCTTGGGACTATCGGCTATAATGAGCGCTGCGTGGATAAGTCCCTATGCATTGTACTGAATACTTATCCTGACAAAGTGTCTGTAGACATAACAAATGTAACAGCCACATTAGAATTACAGGCTGTAAAAAACACTGCAGTATGAATTATTTGTCAAGAAATAAAAGATGCATTGTAATTTGCCAAGAAACAACTGTCTAATGTGTTTTCTTTTTTGAAAAAAAAAATGCGCTTGCTTGCAAAATATTTGGAAAGTAAATTATCTATTACCATTGCTTGCTTGCTAATCGTCAGTAATAATCCCTTTCAATTACTATGGTGAAGTAGGTCAGCCAATTTTTAGTGCTTATGAAACTTGCAATTTAGAATAAGGCGGCATATCAGCAAGTTAGGTTTTAATATGATTGAGCAAATACTCTTTCTTTCAGTCCTCTAAACCCTAACCATGGATCCAGACGAGCTGTAACACCTAAAAGTAATTATGCTTAGTTTTATTTATAATATTTTTATAACTATTTGTAACAATGACAGTTCATTCTCAATCGTTTTTATTTTTTAATTAATAGATTTTATTTTATTTGTTTTTGAGACAGAGTCTCACTCTGTTGCCCAGGCCGGAGTGCGGAGACACAATCTTGCCTCACTGCAACCTCCACCTCCTGGGTTCAAGCAATTCTTGTGCCTCAGCCTCCCGAGTAGCTGGGATTACAGACTTGCACCACCACACCTGGCTAATTTTTGTATTTTTAGTAAAGACGGGGTTTCATCATGTTGGCCAGGCTGGACTCGAACTCCTGACCTCAAGTGATCCACCCGCCTCGGCCTCCCATATAGTACTGGGATTACAGGTATAAGCTACCATGCCCAGCCTAGATTTTATTTTTATAGAGCAGTTTTACATTAACAGAAAAACTGAGCAAGTCACTCAAAGTTGCCATATATACATTTTCTCCCTCTCGCCAACCATTTTTATTTACCTGAACTCTTCTTTGAGTATGTAATATTCTTGGACAGCTTAGAAATTTAAGACTATCTTTCTATATTTTTAATAATACAACTACCCTTGTCAAATTTACTGCCATAGTTCCCCCGATGTTTCCAGTATCTTGTCCATTAATACTTGGTTTTATTTTATAGTTCAGCTCTCACAGCCACTGAAGAACTTTAAATTGACCATTTTAAGAATGACTCTAGGGGCCGTGTAGAGGATGAGCTGGAGCAGGGAGGGAACAGTGGGGAAGGAAAACCAACAGTTCAGGCAGGACTGATGAAGAATCCAGCAAAAGCAGCAGCAATTGGGATAGAAAGGAAGAGAGAGATCTGAGAGAGTTTGGGGGTAAATGCAATGTGGTCTAGCAATGAGATAGATTCCTACATGGATGTAGGAGTGGTAAGAGGTCCCAGGCCATTAACAGAGATGGGGAAATTTGCGACAAGGAATGAATCTTGGGAGGGAGGAAATACTGACTTACCATATTTAAAGAACCTCCGAGTGAAGATGCCCAATTTGCAGTTAAAATAGGACCACACAGCTTAGGAAAGCTCTCAGGATGCGTTTAAAGTTTTGTGAATTGTCAACCTTCCGTGAAAAGCAGAGACATGGCTGGATATGTGATGGGCCTGGGAAGCTGTGGCACATATAGAAAGGAAAGACCCATTTAAAAGTCACCAAATCCTTGAGTCTTTCTGGAGCTGGGAGGCAGCACAGGGCGAATGAATCTCAGGTGTTAGAATTAGGCATTCTCCTTCTCATCCAAGCTTTACCACCCAGCTGAATGACCTTAGACAAGACATTCCATATTTCTGGGTGTCTTTATCTTTTGTCACTTACTGAAAAGAGATAATGAAGTTTGCCGAATTTACCTCATGGATCAGTGTATGATATGATAAATTAATGTGGAAAAAATTCCCTTGGAAGTTAAATATAAAGACATTATCTGTCTCCTGAGGTTGAAAGTACTTAGGAAATTCTGACAGGGAAGGTGGTGGGGGGAAAAGAGAGGAGGAAAGAGCAGGGAAGGCCAAGAGGAGTAACACTTACTAAGTGGAGTGTCAAACAACCAGCAGTTCCCTTAGTTTTAACCCTTTATCCTGCCAAGGACTGTTGTCATTTGAATTGTGTCTCTCTCAAAAAGAGATGTTGATGTCCTAATTCCAGTGACCTCAAATGTGTCTCTGTTTGGAAATAGGGTCGTGGCAGACATACTTAGTTAAGACGAGGTCACACTGGAAAACGGTGGGCCCCTAATCCACCACAACTGGTATCCTTGAGGTCACACTAGAAAAAGGTAGGCCCCTAATCCAACATGACTGGTGTCCTCCCAGGAAGATGGGCATGCAAAGGCACAGAGACACAGGGAGAATGCCGTGTGAAGACAGGCACAGAGACTAGGGTCATGCAGTTGCAAGCCAACGATGTCAAAGATTGCTGGAAAACCACCGGAAGCTAGGAAAAGGCAAGCAAAGATATCTCCCCTGCAAGTTTCAGAGACAGCAAGTCCTTGATTTCAGACTTGCAGCTTCCAGAATGCGAGACAATTAATGCGTGTTGTTTTAAGACTCCCTGTTTATGGCACTTTGTTATAGCAACCCTAGGAAGCTAACACAGAAATAATCACTTTCTGTTTAGTAAAGTCTTTCATAGAGCTATGGTTTTGTTTTTAAAAAGATGAATAAAACAAACATAGCAGTGGGGTGATATATTTTAAAAATAATAAACTATGTGATTTTTTTCCCCTCAATTGTATAGAGGGATTGCATACACAAATAGGTATGGTCACTCTTACCAGCACAATGAGCCATTTATTTCAGGAATTAAGAAACAGAGTCGGCTGGTTGGACATTCTGACCAGCTTCAATGTATTGGATCACTTGAGATTAAATGAGTGGCCCAAATGTGTTTCTGAGATCCAGAGATAGGAGATATATATGTCCTGGGCATCATTTCTGTCTCCCCAGGGCTTGGAGTTGGCATTGATTCATCATTAGGCAGACCTGCTTCCCACCACTATGAGAATGGGACATAGAGAACATCACTAATGTGTACAAGGTATATTAAAGTTAACTGTCAAGGAAATAAATGTTTTAGTCCTGGCTCTGCCACTTTTGTAGGCTTTTAGGTAAACACTTGAGCAGGCATCTGTAAGTTTTTATCAATTCAGCATCTTTTCCTTTCAGGGATTCCCTCCCCTACTCCACGCTGACATCAAATGGCCTCACTTCTCTTATCTCAAGGCTATGCGTGTACAAGTTCTTGCAAGTTCTTGTCTCTAGCTCAGCCAGTCTAATAGTTTTGCAAATGTTATATAAACAACAAGGTAGAATGTTTGTCTTCTGTATTATGAGCCTTAAGGCCAGTGCTTCAGGCAGCTAGCATCAGCTTGAGAATGAAACCAATACAGAAGAAAGCAGAACCAAGAGATGGAGAGAGACAGAGACCCAAGAACATCATTTGAACCAATAAATTCAGCTGTGCCTTGAAGCCAGATCATCCATTTGGACTTTCCACCTACATAAACCAAAGAATCATTCTCCTCTCCCCCTTTATTTTCTTCATCTACTTTGAAATGGGTGTTGTTATTATTTAACCTCTCTGGCTTTCAGTTTTCTCATCTATAAATTAAGATTACTCTTAAACATCTACCATCACCATAAGAAGAACATGCCCTGGCTGAAATCTCTGGCATGAAAAGACAAGAAACATATGAATCAGGGTCACCCTAACATGCCCACAAACCAGTGGTTTAAAGTAGAGGTACCAGCCAAGCCCAGCCGAGATCAACCAAATCTTAGCCAACCTGCTGACACAGCGGCAATAATAAAAATATTGTTAAGAGTAATAATGGTGAATAAGGAGTAGAGGATATTTAAAACAGTGTCAACTTTACATATGCTCATGTCTAAGAATGGAACATTAATAGGTGGATGCTTTCCCATTATATCCCTATGAACCCAACTTTCTCTTTAGCATCTCTGGTCTTAAGTCAAAAATTATTACAAATTTACTCCTAAATCTCTCTCATTCTTTCTAGATAAAACACAAACCTGCATTTATTATGCACCAGAGGAAATTTAAAAGGTCTAAAAATATTAGGTTGAGCCCTTGGATTTTAGTTCTGGAATATAACTCAGAGGTTATCTAGTTCAATTTCATCCTTTTACAGATAAGAATCCTGAGGTCCAGAAAGCTTTCATGACCTATCAAAGATCTCTTGGCTAGTTTATGTGAGATGAGACTGGAACCCCAGGTTTTTAATTCCTACTTCATCACTTCTTCTATTATGACTAATGTCTTCTGATGTTTACCAAGTTTGGAAGGATTGAAAGCTAATACTCCCATTTAACCTCACTGTTTCTAATTTTTCTGAGTATATTCAGCGCTTTTGAAAGCTGTGAGCTTGAATATCAAAGTTTCCTGCCCAAAAAAAAAATGAAGAACAAATGGAAGCAGTCAGTAAGCCTGATGCTTTGTGATTAGCCAGTTTTATGTTTCATGAATTTCCTATTCCATAAGAGTAAGATGTTTCTGCCATTCAAAAAAATATATATTTAAGTCACCACTCCATCTCTGTCTTTTATGACAGCAATTTTTTAAAGGTTGAGCAAAGTTACCCCCACACCTGTTTCTTTTAAACTGAAAGGGACCCAGCTGCACTCTGTAGGGAAATCACAAAGACAACTGGAGATTTTATCAATTTACAGCCAAGCTTGGCTGGAGAAAAGTGGATAGCTGATTTGAGAAGATAGGGAATAAGTACATTTACCTGAAGATGAGCATGGCCTAGCTGAAGAGACCAGAGATAATGAGGAAGGATTCCTTTGGTTTGGTGGGGAAATCCATGATTCTGTAACATCAATCAAGACAGTTTTATCTGATTGCTAAGTTTCAAGAAAACCAGTGAACATTTAAAATAGCTATACAGAAAGAGAAAAAAGAAGATAAAGGAAGGTACAATCATTCTCCGTTATGTAAAGTTGGAAACTAAAGCCCTAAGTGGTATAGAATTAATATTAAATTTTAATGCTATCACATTGAAGTTGTGAATTTAGGTTAATTTTATAAGAACAAAGAATCTCCTTTTATATTTCCAGGCCTTGCTGCAAGGGATTCTGACCCCAGTTCAAGACACATAGAAGAGAAAATGCATTGGCATGAGAAGGCTGGGGTAACAAAATGAACATCTTTAAAACTAACTTTTAAAAAAGTCTCATTGAGAATAATCACACATCATTTATTCTTTTAGATGTCTTACAAATGTGGATTAAAATCATTTACATCATATTTATTAGCTTGAGTCATTTTATCTTTTCATTTACCAGTAGATGATAGCTGTAAGCAGCTCATCAACGTACGCTGGGCAGCAGCCAGGGGGCATAATCTGAGAATATTGAGAGAATCTTTCCATTCTTTCCCCAAATAAGTACACACAAACACATGCACATACACATATAATATGCACAAAAAGCCCAGATTAACTTGTCTTTAATAATTTGGCTCACTCATGGGCTAGTATTAATCTGCAGGTATGAATCTAATTTAATAATTTGACTCACTATGGGCAGGTATTCATCTAACTCATTTTTGTTGCATACTAGGAGGCAATGCAATCTTAGAGGTTGTGGGAGAAAGTGGAAACACAGAACTAGTTAGGATCAGGGTACAGGTAGCAAGATGCTTGGAATTGGTGGGGGGAGGTCACAAAGAAAGGAGAGGAATGTCTGAATGTCAGGTTATGTAAGCAGCAAAGAGAAACCACCTCTTTCTCAATTAATTTCACCTAAATATTTCAAAAATAGCAATTATCTATAAAGGATATGCTGAAGTATTAATCATCTCTATAAGCTTCCTATTTTATCATTGAGAATATAAACCATGCACATTTAAAATATTAAAATATACAATGAGTGGCAATGACAAATGACTGATCCTGGCACCAAGGACCATAAATGTTTGGAGATTAATAATATTATTTCAAGGTGGGTGTGGAGGATGGAGTTCAAATAAGGATTCAGTAAGAGGTGAGACTTCAGCCACAGCTTTAAGGATAATCAGATGCAGATAGGAAGGAGTGGAAAGTAATTTTAAGTGAGGGAAATGTGTGAAGATGCAGAAATTCTGGAAGCATGTATGAGGCAGAGAGGAGTTCACCACTGACACCAGGTGGAAGATTCTTGAAAGGTTATACGGGAGAGAAAGGAGGGAAAAATAGGCTTTTTTTTTTCCATGAAGAATACAGGAAGCCTATTTTAAAGGAAAAATATCTGATTCATTTTAGTCATATTGGTTGGCTTCTAATGACCTAGCCAAGCCCTTTTGCTAAAGAAGGATATTTGGTGACATGTTTATACTTGGGAAAGTACTCCAGTTGATGGTTGCATTTTCATTTGGACATTGAGAGGACACTAGAGTCAGATTTGGATTTGGGGGGACACATAAGCTCCTGCAAATAATACCATTTTATATGATTTCTTATAACCCATTTTCTTGTTTTAAATATATCCTGTGGCAATAGTTCATATTTCTAAATACAAAGAAAAGAAACTTGCCTATACCTTTCTGAGTCACCTGGCACTGAGTCCTTTACCTCCCATTTGCATCCCATTTACCTCCCTGCTCTTTTTGTTCTTGCCTGTTTTGTAATGTGATTAAAGAAGCAGTGGACCAATTCGAGATCCTCTCAGAAATGCTAGGGATTGCCCTCTTTAGGGGGCCTAATTCTGTAAGCACTTCCTATATTGGCGTTTACAGTACCTGTTTCTTTCTAATTTCACTCCCTGTTGAATCTTCCAGGGAACAATAAGGTGCTCTTCCTCAGCCCCTAACTTCCAGTTTTCCACTTACCCTCCTTCACATGCACAAAAGGAAAAAACAGTTCGTTTATTTCTCTTCTAATCACTTCCTATGTGCTAAATTTTGTGGAATTTATATAATTTTGAGGGGTATGAGAATGTTCTAAATACTGAAGCTTCTTTTAAAAATGCTAAACTGACCAGAAATTCTCACAGTGATTGCTTGGTGAAGGGATAGTGGCATCTTAAGCAAATAATCTGCTAAATTAATAAACCTCATAAATTACAAAATCCCTGAATACCAACTGCTGAAATACAATCACTCTCTGACCTGAACCTATTAAATGAAGAAGTCTGCTGTGCATAATTTACAACAGTGCTATGAATGAAAAATAGCTCCTTAAAAGGGAGATAAAATACAAAAATGGCCTAGCTGTAGAAACAGAATTACTAGTTATTTCAGTGCTTATTTATTTCAATATTGGTTTATGGGTCACCTAATAGTTTTATCTTTATTGTTGTTTTGTTCTCAATTGCTCAATAATCCATGATCGAGACAATATTACATTTTGTTGGTTGGATGGCAAGAGTAATGTGAAAAAGACAATATTAATCATGTTTATATTGTACATATGTATAGTGCTTCTTTAAAGGTAGAAAATACAGGATTGCATATGGATAGCTATCTATTGGTAATATTGTTACAAATCTAATTAGTCATCTTGTCTAGAGAATCAAAGTATTTTAAAGGTATTAAATCAGTGGTTCTCAGGTAGTGGAAATGAGAAGTCATTTGGTGAGTGTAAAAGCTTCAGTTATGCTAGATGAGTAAGTTCTAGAGATCTACTATATAACCTAGTGCCTATTAACAATTGTGCACTTCAAACTTTGTTTAGAGGGTAGATCTCAGGTGAAGTGTTCCTGTCATAGAAAAAGGGAGGATACAGGAAACTTTGGGAGGTGTTGAATATGCCTATTACCTTGATTGTGATGATAGTATCATAGGTGTTTATATGTGTCCAAACTCATCAAATTGTACACATTAAATATGTGCAGTTCTTTGTATATCAGTTACACCTTAATAAAGCTGTTAAAAATTAAAATAAATAAATAAATCAGTGGTTCTCAACTAAGAGCAGTTTTATCTCCAGGGGACATTTGACAATGCCTGGAGACATTTTTGATGGTCAAAACTGGCTAAGGGGGTGCTAGTGGTTTCTAGTGGGTGGAAGCCAGGAATACTGCTAAACACCCCATAATGCACACACGTCTGAGAAAAGAGTTACTCAGTCCCAAATGTCAACAATGCTGCTGTTGAGAAACACTGTGTTAAAGTGATAAAAATCAACCCAAATTTCTAGGCATTTAGAAGGAAAGAGAACTCTCAAGAATAATCTCTTGCCAAATTCTTTTGCAGAATTTTGCTCTCAAATATACTTTTCTGGTTCAGCCACAATGAATTTGGAACTCACCTTCTAAACTCCCCTGTGGAATTTTGAGTAATAGGATTGGCAGCAGCCATTTGTTCAAAAAGTGCACAAGGGATTTCAATAGCAGTAACCCTTCCAGGGAGACATAATTCAAACCATGAGAATAAACTGAGTAAAATGGTGGTTGCAGTTCACCTCATCTGAGGAGCATTTTGGACCAGATGGGCTGAAAGAAGAGTAGAGAAGGAAAAATCCCGTGCCCTGCCTATCATGCTAATTCTATTAATGAAATTATATTCAAAACACCAGTCTCTTATTTTGGGACTTTGAGGGCAAACACTTGCTAAGATTGAGTGATTAAAAGGAAAAAAAAAAGATATGAAAAAGTGGCATGTAATTAGGGCATCAGATATTTGTATTGCTAGGTCAAATTGTGCAAATCATGACTGAAATGTGCCAAACTTTCCTCAAAATCTTTTTAAACAGAGTCAATTTAGCTTTGGAGTTACTCAAGCCCATGCGTGTCATTTCTATTGATGGTAAAAAATTATTAATCTTCTCTCTTCATTATTATTGTGTTCCTAATTACAAAAATATATGTTCTCCTAGTCAAGATCAAGGTTCAAACTTGGTCCATTCAAGGTTCTCCCACTGTCCCTTCTTCTGTCCTCCTCCAGGGAAGAGGTACAGTCTTTAGGATATGATATGTTTGCAGAACAAAATGTTGAAAAAATTGTAAATGTCTATTCCATTTCAGACCTAGGCCCCACTCAGGCTCTGGGACAAACGAGTCCCTGGACAGAGGACATGTGAAGGTTCACATCTTAGTGTCTCTTCACCAAACCCATCTTGCGCTTCTGCTTCCTTGTTTTGACTTTGCTTCTAGTTGCAGTGGAAGATCTTGCTCCTTCTTGTAACCAATGCCCAGATTCATTACCACAATTTCCATGTAAATTCTGAGTTGCTCTCTGATACCCTTCTTGTTACTTAATCTCTGCCTACATTCTGTGGACATCTAAGAATGGATCCTTGCTCTATATTTCTTTTCCCACAAAGTACTGAAAGCTTGTGTCTGAATTCTAGTCTGTGAATTGAAGCTCACTGTGTGCTAGTAAAATACCTGATGTACCTGAACAGGTAGTTGTTGGGGTGAGGAGGATTGTCAAGAAAAGCTGATGAATTCTAAGATCTACCTTTTCCCTGGTGCTGAGATTTTCCATAATTTTCCATGTTTTCTCAATTCAAACTCTTTCAGCTTTTGTGGCTCAACATTGCCAACCAAATCCTGGTCCTGGAAATAAATTTTCAGTTTTAAACTTAAAAAACTTAAAGATGAATTCATGCCAATAAACTCAGCCCTGATATGTGTATTGAAAGCCTGAAATGGAAATAGCTTAAATGACTCACTTGTTTATGAAACCAAGTGTTCTAGGTCACCAACTATAGGATAAACGCAAGGTCCAAAAGTTGCTTTATTCATTATACACTAAACATTGTAGACCTCTCAGTAGTCAATATATTGTACAGTCTACTATAAAAGTTAATGTATTAGATTATTTTAATCTCAAGTTCTCATAGTTTAAAAATAAAATTGCTTTAAAGATTTTTTAAATTTTATTTTATCATTGGCCCACTCCCAATGAGTAATTGCTAATTCATTTTTAGTTAACTTATTTGTGTATGACAGTATGTGTCCAAATAATTAGGAACTTTAACAAATTAAGCTGCATCAGCTTAATTTGTTATAAAACAACATATTTTTATTTTGTCATCTAGTTTGCAAAGATACTTGCCTGGTGAAAGTACAATCATGGTTATAGAAGGCTTACAAAAAAATCAATTTCATGGCTGTTGAAAGTTAGGAAAGGCTGCACACTAATCGGGGCTGAGCTCACCCTACTTCTTCCATCAGGAATGGGGTAGCCTGTGAATCAGAGATTCAGAAAACGGAACTCAGACCATTAACCTCCTGACTTAGCTAACACCTGCGAAGCACTTCCTCACTCACGCTTGTAAAAGATGATGCATGTATGAAAGGCATTTTGAAAAGAGAAGCGAATGACTATTGGAAAGTAGCCTTCTTCTGATACCAGGATTGATGTTTTCAGCTCTTTTGCCTTTACTTCTGCTAGTCTCCTATTGTCAGTGGAAGAGTTTCTTTAACTACTTGATGATCTTGTCTCTGACTCTCTTTTATGGCACTTTACTTTTTATGTCCTCAGTGTCAATGAACCTTACTGATTTCCTTCTTTTCACACAAGTGCCAGTATATTTGCCTTGAATGTTTTTAACCCTGATGCTCTCTTCACCCTTGTATTGACCTCTGTAGAAATCTCCAAAGTTACTTCCGTGGGCTCAAAGGGCCATGCTCTTCTCTGAGCTCAACTTCTAACTTATCAGTTTCTATTTAATTGAAGGATAAAATACAACCTCGAGGTAATTTTTAAAAAAGATATCTTATCCAAACAACAATCTCAACCCTGCGTTCCTGGCTCTCCTGACATCCAGGCCAATGCTCTTTTCATGGGGTTCTGCTGCTTCCTTGAAGAATAAAGGTGCAATCCCACATTCACTAGGTGAATATGTAATAAAAGAAATGCATTCACATCATCATGACTACTGTGACACAATTATAGTAGGGACCTTCCAACTTGTTTTCCAGACAAAAGGAATTGTATTTGGCAACTGATTGTAGACAAATATTAAAAATTACAAATATTAAATATAGAATTTCATTTATCAGGTTTCCTTTTTAACTCAGTCCATTCCTGAGTCTATAACTTACACTTACTAAGGGAACAAAGGTGGTGCACATATTTCCCTGCAGCTCCTAACCAGGGCCAAAGTAGACTTGCTTTAACTCCTTTTTCACTACGATCAGAAAAGATAGAATGGAGAATAAACGAAATAAATGATCTGTATCCAGGCTCCATTATTGTTCACGCAGTAAGACTTGGTACTTATTACATGTAGGATAGGTGATTTGTTCTGTTGCTTAAAGGGTATGGGAGAAAGTGTTTCTGAAAGTAGCATCACCATAGCACAATGAGCCATTAATATCTGAAATTATAGCATGACACATTTATTCCCCTTCATAAGTAAGGACCCGCTCACTGACAAAATACCACAGGGGTAGATCACATGTAGCATTTTTACGTTTTACTAATGTAAGTCATTTACCACATGGGCATATAATAGACACATATTAATTTTAAGGTGGTCAGCAGAAGCTAGAACTAAAGTTATTATATAGATTGTTTATCTGTATAATATATAGAATGCATGTCCATGAATTTTTAGATGAGGAAGCTGAGACTCAGAGAAGGTTGCTCAAACACAGAACCAGGGCCAAAGACCAAGGGCTGTGAGTCCCAGAGCACTGTAGCCACTTCCCCATAGTGAAGTGGAGTTCTCCTTAGACATGGGACAGGAGCACAAATGCCTAAGAGATCACCACATGCCACCGAAAATGTTTAATATTTTTCTTGTGCCCACTGAGGCATAACATTCTATTCAGGGAGGAGAAACGTACTTGAAATATACCTGAAGGATCAACTAGTTGAATATACCTGAGGGATCAGTAGTTGAAAGATACCTGAGGGATCAAAGAGTCCCAATCCCTCAATTAAAACATGAAGTAACTGATATCTAAGCAATTAGTGGCAGGTGTAGGGCTAAACCCCATCACCAGAATCTCAATCTAGTTCTAATTTCAATGTATCCTGCCTCTGTGAGCATCAGAGAATAAAAGTGGCTGTCTGACTTTCATGAAAAAGAAGACCAAAAGGCAAAATTAGGAGAGGCAGTTTATGTAAAGAGCAGACCCCAGGCAGGATCTCTCCTCTGGAAAGGGGTGAGAGAGAGTGATGTGTGAAAACAGGATGCAAGGAGCTGCCACTGCTAGAGTTATAGTTCTCAAAATGTGGTCCCTGGCTATTAGCACCCAGCATTACCTGGGAACTTCTTAAAAATTCAAATTCTTGATCCTAACTAGACCTTCTGAATTGGAAATTCTGGGGGTTGAGCCCAACAATCTATGTTTTAACAAGTCTATTAGACAATGCTGACGCACTTTATATTGTGAAAAGCAATGCAGTAGAGAAGTCTTTATGAAACTCATATGAACCCAATTCTCAGGATACAAGAATCTACTGAATAGAAAAAAATCTTCCTATATAGGGCACATCTCTGTTCTATTTGATCTCTTCTAACTCTGAAGGTATACCTGATTACTTTCATAAAACAGTCACGCAATCTTAACATGGACAAAATGTTTAATTCTCTCTCATTCATTTCTTTCTAAGCTCTAAAATTCTTAATCTTTCTATAATTATTGCTTACCATGTCCTTTAGTGCTACTGATTTATTTAGGGTTTTTTCTCTATAGTTTTCATGCATCTATATAGTTTGGTATTGAAACATATTAGTACACTAAAATTGCTTAACATATCAAATAAAGGGCATATTAAACTGAAAAATATTTTAAAAGATAAACCACTGTTGTCTTCTTATTCTTTTAGGTCAGCTCCACATGGATAAACTTTATCTTTTCATTGAGTCTTAAAGTTGGTGCAGTGAGATTCTAGTATAGACCATATTTAGCTAATATGCTAACATGCTGGGTTTCAAACATTTTTATTTACTAAACAAAAACAAAGGTTAGTTTATAAAAAGAGGATGAGGAAGAGAAAGCAGCTCAAGAAAAACAGTTGCAAGTGAACAATGAGGAAATAACATTGTGCTCTGTGTTAAATACACCTCGATTTGACTCCCTGCTCTGTTGCCTAACAAAGATAGACACCTGGGGCGTGTTACTTACACTCTACGTCTCAGCTTGCTTTTTTTTTTTTCTGAGACGGAGTCTCGCTCTGTCGCCCAGGCTGGAGTGCGGTGGCACCATTATCGGGCTCACTGCAACCTCTGTCTCCTGTGTCAAGCAATTCTCCTGCCTCAGCACCCACTACCACGCCCGGCTAATTGTTTTATATTTTTAGTAGATACAAGGTTTCGCCATGTTGGTCAGGCTGGTCTCGAACTGACCAGCCCTCCTCGGCCCCCTTACAGTGCTGGGATTACAGGCGTGAGTGGTATTAATGATGTGAGATCATTTCTCCCTCTCTTCTTCATTTTCTGTTCTATTAATTTTGCCTTTACATTATGCTGTTTTGTATTGTTAAGTGGCTCTAAAGTATCCTATAAATTCATTGAGGGCAGATAAGATATCTAAGACTTACTTATAATTTGTTCAGCCTGTTGTACAAAGCTCTGAACATCTAAATGCAGTAGGCCCCCAATTACTGAGAGATATCCAGTATGCGATACCAATGTAAGAGAAAAGTGCCACCAACATTTATCCATGGGCTACTTACTGTCATTTCTGTTATAAAGGCTCATCTTTATCTGTGGTCCCTACTCTGTGGCTTTCTGAAACAGTCAGCAGTCGTAAGGTTTAGCCACATCAAAAGACCAAGAAAGGTTTTTTCTCTAAATAGAAACTGTAACTTGGTTTGATGCTCTCATTATACTTTACAGTGGTTCTCAAAGTGAAATCTCTGGATGAGCAGGATCAGCATGACCTGCAGAACAGTTAGAAATACAAATTTTCAGGCACCACCCTGACCTATTAAATCAGAAATCTCTTATCACAAGCCTTCCATGTGATTCTGATGCACTCTAAATTTTGAGACCACTGGCCTAAAACAATGTCCCTATTTCTCCTTGCTAGTTATCAGGGTCCTGACTAGTATCATTGATGTTCTTAAGGGGATATCTTATCAGAGGTAGATAATGGGATAGCAATGTCTATAATGTATCAATCCAACCAGTAATAGTTGTATAATGAACACAGAGTATAGAATTTTTCAAAGCATGTTTAATGGGTTAGAATTCAAAGTTAATAAGTACTGTTTAAAAAATAAAAGGTATTACTTAGGCAAATAAACTTAGAGAAACTAGATTAAAAAAATTTCTACCCTGAGAAATTTTCAATTTTTTAATATATTCAAAAATATTCCAAATCTTCACAATTTCCTCAAACTTATTTGAAACCACCTTTTCCAATAAAAATGTATTTTTTGCTGATTCAAAGGCCTCTTTTTGTGGTTGTATTTCCCACACCTGAATTTTGTTATAACTTGTTACCAAAAGGTGTTTGATGTTACATTATTTTTACTTGGATCCTTTCAAAATTATTATTCCAGTGGTTCCCAACTGGAGCAATTTTGTCCCCAGGAATATTTGGCAATGTCTGGAGACATATTTGCTTGTCACAACTAGGGTGGGGGGGAGTTGCTACTCATATACAGTGATTAGAGACTAGCGATGCTGCTAACTATCCTACAACGCACAGAACAGCCCCCACAACAAAGAATTATCCAGCTCAAAATGTTGATAATGTTGGGGGTTGAGAAATCCTTTATGAGTTCTTCAAATAGTAGTGAGCAGAGTGAGCACTTTCTGTGTACCTACTCGCACATTGAATACAGATTGTCATACAGACTTGTCTTTTTTATAGTCGTAATTCCAATAGAGGCATCCAATAAGAGCATATTGAATGAGTGAATTAATAAAATAATCATTGAGAGAAACAACTATCATGAATGAAATTAACAGCAAATCTTGGAAGTCAATGTAAAAACCACATCATTTAACACAGCAAGTGAAATCCATATTGAGGAAAGCTTTCAGGAGGGAAGATTACAACTGATCTTGACCGATCAGAGCAGATGGGGGAGAGCAGAGAGCAGTCCAGCCAGGGGGATATGACAGACCATGCAGAGAACAGGCACATCAGGGGCTGTCACACGTCTTGTAGGTCAATGCCTCGTAACTTCACTCATGTGAATCTACCTGCAGGTTCTACTCCCCTTCTTTGATCCTGTCCCTGTCCTATAACAAACAGGTAGCAAGTGGCAGAAATTAACTGATGGCCTAAAAACCATAAGGTTTTGTTTGCCATCCCAGGATTTTGTTTGTCTGTTTGATTATTTTTAGGAACTTTGTTTGCTTAACTATTTTTATGACATAAATAACCATCAATTAATTTCGAAAAAAATTTTTGAAACACAATGTTTGTACATATTTATGAGGTTCCTGTGATATTTTGTAATATGTATATAATGTGTAATGATCAAGTTGGTGTATTTAGGGTATTTATCACCTTGAGCATTTATCATTTTTATGTGTTGGGAACATTTCAAGTCCTCTCTTCTAGCTATTTTGAAACATGCAGTATATTGTTATTAACCAGCCATGCTGCTCTACTATTGAACATTAGAACTTATTTCTTCTATCTAATTGTATGTTTGTATACATTAGCCAAACACTCTCTATCCTTCCTCCTCCCCACACACCCTTTCCAGCCTATGGTAATTATCATGCTTCTCTCTACCTCCACGGTATCAACTATGTTTAGCTCCCACATATGAGTGAGAACATGCAGTATTTGTCTTTCTGTGCCTGGCTTATTTCATTGAACATAATGACCTCCACTTCCATCCATGTTTCTCCAAACAACAAGATTTTATTATTTTTTATAGCTGAATAGTATTCCATTGTGTACCACATTCCATACCACATTTTCTTTATCCATTTATCTGTTAATGAACACTTAGGTTGATTCCATAACTCTGCTATTGTGAATAATGCTATAATAAACATAGGGATGTATGTATTCTTTTGTTATACTGATTTATTTTCCTTTGGATAAATACCCAGGTGAGGTATTGTTGGATCATCTGGTAGATCTATTTTTAGCTTTCTGAGAAATCTTTATACTGTTTTCTATAATGGCTATGCCAATTTACATTCCCACCAACAGTGAATGAGTTCCTCTTGCTCTGTATTCTCGCCAGCATCTGTTTTTTGCATTTTCACTAATAGCCATTCTAACTGGGGTAAGAAAATATCTCATTGTGAGTTTGATTTGCATTTTCCTGATGACTAGTGACGTTGAACATTTTAAAAATATACCTGTTGACTATTTGTATGTCAACATTTTGAGAAATGTGTATTTATATCCTTCACTTTTTTTTAACAGGACTATTTGTTTTTCTGTTGTTGAGTTTGAGTTCCTTGTATATTCTGAATATTAGTCTCCTGTCAAATGAATGGTTTACAGATATTTTCTCCTATTCAACAGGTTGTCTCTTAACCCTGTTGATTGTTTCCTTTGCTGTGCAGAAGCTTTTTAATTTAATGTAGTCCTGTTTGTCTATTTTTGTTTTTGTTGGCTGTGCTTCTGAAATCTTAGCCATAAATTCTTTGCCCAGTCCAATGTTCTGTAGTGTTTACTTTATGTTTTCTTCTAGTGGTTTTATAGTTTTCAGTCTTATGTTTAGGTGTCTGATCCACTTTGAGTTGATTTTTTTATATGGTGAGAGAGAGGGGCCTAGTTTTATTCTGCATATGGTTATTCAGTTTTCCCAGCACCACTTATTGAAGAGGATATTTTTCTTCAGTGTATATTCTTAGTGCCTTTGTAGAAAATCAGTTGGCAGTGAATATGTGGATTTATTTCTCTGTTCTTTGTTCTGTTCCATTAGTCTATGTATCTGTTTTTATACCAACACCATGCTGTTTTGGTTACTGTAGCCTTGTATTATATTTTGAAGTCAGATAGTGTGATAGCTTCAGCTTTGTTCTCTTTTCTCAAAATTGCTTTGGCTATTCAGGCTAATTTTGGATTCTATACATACTTAAGAATTTTTTTCTATTTCTCTAAAAAATGACATTGGTATTTTGATAAGGATTGCATTGAATCTGTAAATGGCTTTGGGAAGTATGTTCATTTTAACAAGATTAATTCTTCTGATTTATGAGCATGGGATGCCTTTACATTTGTCTGTGTCCTCTGCAGTTTATTTCATCAGTATTTTGTAGTTTTCCTTGAAAAGGTCTTTTACCTCCTTGGTAAAATTTATTCATAGGTATTTTATTATTTTTTGTGGCTATCATAAATGGGATGCCTTCTTGATTTCTTTTTCAACTATTTAATTATTTGTGTATAGAAATGCTACTAATTGTTGTGTGTTCTTTGCATCATGCAACTTTACGGAATTTGTTGATCATATTATAAGAGTGTTTTGGTGGGGTCTTTGGTACTTCTAAATATAAGATCATACCATCAGAAAAACGGGAAAGTTTGAATTCCTCTTTTCCAATTTCAATGTCTTTTATTTCTTTTTCTTGCCTCATTACTCTGGCTAAAACTTCCAGTACAATATTGAGTAGGAGTGAAGAAAGTAGGCATCCCTGTCATGCTCCAGTTCATAGAGGAAAGGCTTTCAGCTTTCCCCCATTCAGTACGCTGTTAGCTGTGAGTTTGTCATAGATGGGATTTATTATATTGAGACATTTTCTTTATATTTCTAGTTTGTTGACAGTTTTTATCATGAAAAACTGTTGAATTTTATCAAATAATTTTGCTGCAGCTATTGAGATGATCATACGACTTTTGTCCTTCATGCTGTTGATGTAATGTATTATGCTCATTGATTTGCATATGTTGAACCATCTTTTCATCCCTGGGATAAATTCCACTTGCTCATGATATATTTTTTTTCTGATGTCCTGTTGAACTCAATTTGCTAGTATTTTGTTGAGAATTTTTGTCTGTATATTCATCAGGGATATTAGCCTGTAGTTTTCTTTTTTTGTCATGTCCTCATCTGATTTTGGTGTCAGGGTATTACAGGCCTCATAAAACAAGTTAGGGAGAATTTACTCCTCGTCAATTTTATTGGAATAGTTTGAGGAGATGTGGTGTTTTTTTTTTAATTGCAAGTATTTATTTTTGATCCTCCCACACTAAGCAACCTGCCCCAAAGCATTTTTCTTAAACCTTTGGTAGCTGTTATTGCCTTTCTTCTATTTCACAAGAAACTTGCTAGCAGATAATAACATGAATGGATGAGCAGAAATAAGCAGTAGTGGAAAAATGTCAAAGCAGATTATCTAATGATAATAGTAACTAATATTTAATCGTGCTTATGGTGTGGTACTTGGATGTTCTAAGCACTTTTCATGGATTAATTTATGCTTGCCTTACAGCAGCATCCTGAAGGGGCAAGATACTGTTTTTATTCTCAGCTAATAATAAGTCCATATGTTTGACAGTATGCATGCATGTGTTGTTTTGTAGAGGTAACCTGTGGATGTGATTTTATTTTATATTCACATAGAATTATTTCTTCTAACTTTAAAAATCATTCATAGTTAATATGCTAGAACAGCACTACCTAGTACGGCAGCCACCAGCCACATGTGGTTATTGAACATTTGAGGCCAAGTCTGCTCACATTTGTAATCCCAGCACTTTGGGAAGCCAAGGTAGGAGGATCATCTAAGCCCAGGAGTTTGAGCCAGCCTGGGCGACATAGTGAGGCCTCCTGTCTTCCCAAATAAAAAACTATATTTTTTTTTGTAAATTGAGATATGAACAGTGTGAAATGAGATGTGCTGTAAGTGCAAAATGCACATAAGATTTTGAAGACAATATTTTTAAAAGAATGTAAGATACTTCTTTTTTTTTTTTTTTTTTTTTTGATACAGGGTCTCATTTTGTTACCCAGGCTGGAATGTAGTGGTACAATCATGGCTCACTGCAGCCTCCACATCCTGTGCTCAAATGATCCTCCAGGCTCAGCCTCCTGAATAGTTGGGACTACAGGTATGCACCAGCATGCTGGGCTAATTTTTGTATTTTTAGTAGAGACAGGGTTTCACCACGTTGTCCAAGCCCATCTCAAACTCCTAGGCTCAAGCAATTTGCCCACCTCAGCCTTTTGAAGTGCTAGGATTACACGTGTGAACCACTGTACCTGGCTATACAATACCTCTTTAATATTTGTGATTGATTAGATGTTGGGTTCTCTTTCTTTCTTCTTTTCTTTTTTTTTTTTTTTTTTTCAGGGTATGGCTCTGTCACCCAGGCTGGAATGCAGGTCACTGCTGTAGCCTCTACCTCCTGGGCTCAAGCCAACCTCCCACCTCAGCCTCTCAAGTACCTGGGACTACAGGCACATGTCACCACATCCAGCTAATTTTTATATATTTTGTAGAGATAGGGTTTCGCCATGTTGCCCAGACTGGTCTCAAACTCCTGAGCTCAAGCGATCCACCTGCCTTGGCCTCCCAAAGTGCTAGGATTACATGGGTGAGCCACTGTGCCTGGCCTTTAATTTGTAATTTTTTTTTTAATTTGTAATTTTTTTGAGAATTGGTGTTAATTCTTTAAGTTTGGTAGAATTTGGTGGTGAAGCCATCTGGTTCCTGACTTTGCTTTGTTGGGAAAGATTTTGTTATTGATTCAATCTCATTCCTCGTTATTGGTCTGTTCAGCTTTTGTTTCTTCCTGGCTCAATCTTGGTAGGTTGTATGTATCCAGGAATTTATCCATTTCCTCCGGGTTTTCCAGTTTGTTAGCATACAGTTTATAATTGTCTCAAATAATCTGTGTTTTTGTGTATCATTTGTAATGTCTCCATTTTTATTCCTGATTTTGTTTATTTGGTTCTTCTCTTTTTTTCTTGGTTAATCTAGCTAGTGATTTATTGATTTTACCTTTTCAGAAAACCAACTTTACATTTCATTGATTTTGTGTGTGTGTGTGTGTGTGTTTTTTAGTCTCTATTTCATTTAGTTCTACTCTGATCATTATTATTTCTTTCCTTCTACTAATTTGGGCTTGGTTTGTTCTTGCTTTTCTGATTCCTTGAGATGCATTGTTAGATTGTTTACTTAACATCTTTATACTTAAAAAAATTTGTATTTATTTATTTATTTTGTAGAGAGAGTTCTCCTGTGTTACCCAGGTTGGTCTCAAACTCTTGGCCCTAGGCAGTTCTTCTGCTTAAGTCTCCCAAACTATCAGGATTACAGGTGTTAGCCACTGCATCCAGCCAAAATCTTTCTACTTTTTTGATGTAGGCATTTATTGCTATAAACTTCCTGCTTAACATTGCTTTTGCAATGTCCCATATCTTTTAGTAGATTGTGCTTCCATTTTCATTTGTTTCAATTTTTTTAAAATTTTTTTCTTAATTTTTTCATTTACCCAGTGGTCATCCAGGAGCATGTTGTTTAATTTTCATGTTTGTGTACAGTTTCCAAAGTTCCTCTTGTTATTGATTTCCAATTTCATTCCATTGTGGTCTGAGATGATACTTGGTATGATTTCGATTTTCTAAATATTTTGAGACATTTTGTTGCCTTCCATATGATCTATCCTAGAGAATATTCTATAAGCTAATTAGAAAAATGTGTATTCTGCAGCTATTGGATAAAATGTTCTGCAGATGTTTCTCAGGTCCATTTGGTCTAAAGTGTAGTTTAAATCTAATGTTTCTTTGTTAATTCTTTGTATAGGTGATGTGTCTAATGCTGAGATTGTGGTGTTGAAGTCCTCAGCTATTATTGTATTGGAGTCTGTCTCTCTCTTTAGATGTAATATTTGCTTTATATATCTGGGTACTCCATTGTTGGGTACATACGTATTTAGAATTGTTATATCCTCTTGATGAATTAATTCCTTTATCATTATATAATGACCTTCTTTGTACACTTTTTCTGTTTTTGACTTAAAGTCTGTTTTATATAACTACTCCTACTTACTTTTGGTTTCCATTTCCATGGAATATCTTTTTTTGCCTCTTTACTTTCTGTCTATATGTGTCTTTACAGGTAAAATGAGTTTCCTGTAGGCAATATATAACTGCCATATTTTTCTTTATCCATTCCTCTAATTTATATCTTTAATGATGATGATGATGATTATTATTATTGCTGAGATAGGGTCTCACTTTGTTGCCCAGGATAGACTGCAGTGGTGCAATTATAGTTCACTATAGCCTTGAATTCCATGTCTCAACTGATCCACCCTCCTCGGCCTCCCAAGGTGCATGCCACCATGCCTGGCTAATTCAGCCAGTATATATCTTTTAAGTGTAAAATGTAATCGGCTTACATTCAAGTTTTTTATTGACTTAGGGGGACTTATTCTTGTCATTTTGTTCATTGTTTTCTGATTGTTTTGCATGCCCTTCTTTTCTTTCTCTCTTGTTGTTTATCATTATGGTTTGGTTGTTTTCCGTGGTGTAACATTTGAGTTTTTTCTCTTCCTCAGTTGTGTTTTTGCTCTACCAGTGAATTTTATGTTTTCATGTGTTTTCATGATGGTAGATATCCTTTTGCTTTCAGGTGTGAGACTTCTTTAAGCATTTCTTGTAGGGCTGGTCTAATGGTGATGATTCCCTCAGTTTTCGCTTGGCTGGGAAAGACTTTATTTTTCATTCATTTATGAATGATAACTTGAGTATAGGATTCTTGGCTTGCAGCAGATTTCTTTTATCACTTAGAATAAATCACTCTATTTTCTCCTGGCCTATAACATTTTTGCTAAGAAATCTGTAGTTAATCTGATGTGGGGGTGGGTGCTTTTCTCTTTGCTATTTTGAGAATTCTTTTTTTGTCCTTGACTTTTGACAGTTTGACTATAATGTGCCATGGATAAGACATATTGAGTTGCATGTATTTGGGATTCTCTGAGTTTCCTATATCTGGATGTCTAAATATCTTGCTATACTTGGGAAATTTTCAGCTATTATTTTGTTAAATTGGTATTCTATGTATTTGGCCTTTTTACCTTCCCAAATACCCAAAATTTAAATAGTTACCTTATGGTGTCCCATATGTAATGTAGGCTTTGTTCCTTCTTTTTAATTCTTTATTTTTTTTCTGACTCTGGTTATTTTAAAAGACCTCACTTCAAGTTCTTAAATTTTTTCTTTTGCTTGATCTAATCTATTGTTGAAGCTTTCAAATATGTTTTTAATTTTATTCATTGAATTATTCAGTTCTATGATTTCTGTTTGATTCTTTTTTACAGTATCTGTCTCTTTGGTGAATTTTTCATTCATATCCTGAATTGCTTTCCTGATTTCTTTGTATTGCTTAACTATTTTCTCTTGTATCTCACTGAGCTTCTTTAATTGGGATCATTATTTTGAATTCATTTTCTAGGATCTCATAAATTTCTTTTTCATTGAAATCTGTTGCTGGAGAATTATTATGATCCCTTCGAGGTTTCATATTTGATTGCTTTTTCATTTTCTTGTGTCCTGATGTTTATATCTGTGTATGTGGTATAACAGTTGCTTCTTCCAACTTGTTGGATTGGCTCTCACTGGGGGAGACTTTTTGTTGAAGTTCTATCCATGGTGTTAGTTTGGTAGGGTACTTTAGCTTTGATTCTGGGTGCATGCAGTAGTATAGTCTCCATGTTATTTTTTCACTGTAAATAGCTTCAGTGCTGTCTGTGACTTCCTCAGTGGCTTAGGGTGTGGTTATTAGTGGAGGCTGTGGTGAGGATTTTCTAGGAATGTGAATGTCAGGCCCCAGTGGTGGAAGCAGCAGGCCAACTGTGCCTGTTTTTGGGTTTGCAGGCAGTATACATAGGCGCTGTTGTAAGCAGTTTCTAGCAGGCCAATTCTTGGGCTTCCAAGCAGCTTGCTTGGGTGCTGACAGTGGACAACAGTGGGTCAAGTGGATGGAGGGGTCCTTGAGCCCCTGGGCAGCGAGTGTGGCATGGATGATAGTAGTAGTAGTGATGGGACAAACCTTGGGCTCCCAAGCAGCACATGCTGGTTTTAGCATTGGCTGCAATGGGCAAGGCAACCAGTTCCCATGTTCCCAGGTCGTGCATGTAGTTGGGTGCTGGCTATCATAGTGGCAGGCTGGTTGGGACTATCCTTGGGCCTCTGGGAGGAGTGCTCAGATATCAGTGGTGGTCGGTGGGTTGCAGTGATCCCCAGGCTCCCAGGTAGCAAGCTTGGGCACTAGGATCGGATGGTATATGGCCAGCTGGGGTTGTCTTCAGGCCCCCTGGTGGTGTGCACAGGTGCAGGCTGTTGTAGGCAGGCCAGAGTGATCCCAGGTCCCCAGCAGAGTGCTTGGGTGATGGCAACACTGGTGGCAGAGGATGGGATAGCCAGCCCTTTGGCATGTGCAAATATGCAAGGCCCTGCTGCTGGTGGTGGGACAAGGGTGTCACTACTAGCAGCATGTGCTTCTGTCCCTAGTAACAGCAGTGGTGGTTGTTGTGAGCAAGGAGATTCTGTTCTCAGGGAGTGTGCAAGAATGCAGCAGCCCTGCTGCTGGTGGAAGAAGATTGCTATCAGTGGCAGTGGACTCAGGCAGGCAGGTTTAAGTCTCTGAAGAACACATGCTTTGGCTCCCTTTGTCCCAGAGACAGCCTCTCAGTGCATGGCACCATCCCTTCAATGGGGTGCACAACGTTGTTTGTGCTAGCTGGGGATCCTGCTGCTCTGCTGGATGCAACTAGCATTGTGCCACTATAGCCTTCCAGGAAGACAAGAGGGAATATCAGTGGGGCTCCAGGGATATGGAGATGCAGGGCCTATTGGGTCTCATGGGAGGTTGCAGTCTGGTGGGGGCTGGGCTCTCAAAATGACACCATGCTGCAGCTGCTTAAGACTTTGGGGGTGTGTGGAACCCTGTATGAGCTCCCTCTCTGGAGAAATGCTGTTCATGGCTCCCAGGCAGCTCCTTACGCTAATTTCAGGGCCCACAAAGATCATGAGGCTCTCCCATGGCTTGGGTTGCAGGAATCTATGATAGGAATATGGACTTCTGGGTTCTCTCTTACTGTTTCCCCACACTGGGGATTATCTTTGGGCTCTCAGATGATCCTGGCCGAGTTGGCTGCTCACTTCCTTCTCCTTCCACGCCTCAGTTCTTTCCTGTCATTTCTCTATTGAATTTCAGTGTTCTCTCTTAGACGCTGTATTTGAAGTATGATTATCTACTTGCTATTTTGGTTCTTTGTGGAGGAGATGAGTGCTGGATGCTTTCAGTCAGCCATCTTGAAGCCACTCCCATCTGTAAATTTTTAACAAACAATTTAAATAAATCTCAAAGTTCCCCTTGACCCCACCCCATCCTGCTCTCCAGGGCTTGAAATTTCTTTGTTGAATCTACATGCCTTTAGGAGGATATTGTCCAGTTCTCTGTCATCTCTACCTACTGTTTCACCCCCAGCCCCACTGCAATCCACTGTATCACCTACCTTGGCCTGAGTTCATTTGCCATTAGAGTAGAAGCACTGTACTTTGAGTCATTAGACAACTCTTATCTGAATGAACCTTGGTTAGCCACTAAGAGATTGAGCTTTACTTTGTTCATCTTTAAACCCTGTGCTTCTTACACAGTGATTGTCATGAGAATCAAAGCCAATTATGTCAGTGAAACCACCTGACTAGCCATGCTTCCTGAGCAAAAGATATCCCAAGAAGGAGAAAATATATTTTACAGCAACCTATAAAATCTCTTAGACCCATTATTTCTCTGTGAAAATAAAAGTTTCAATTTCATTATAAGTGACAGATTCCATGATAAGCAATAACATATATGTGTAGCACTTAGTCATTGCCAAGACCAAAGTGATTCACAATTTTAGTCACCATTATTGATGGTTTACATAATGAATAATAGTAATAGTCAATCCCTGTTTATTTTTATATGTTTTAAAATATTCTAACTAAAATTGATACTACAGAAAGATAAGTCATGTTTGTCCTACAGCTTCAAATACTTTCCAACACCTTACAAAACATTAAGCAAACATGCAACGTTATTATTACCAGTCTTTCAAGACCCAGCTAAAGAATTCCTTTATAAAAAATTATTTCACCACCCCAACCTAGAACTCTCCCTCTGAATTCCAGCAGTGGCTGTTTGTCTTTAGTTTTCTTGGCCATTAGGTATACACATGGCCTTGTATTGCTTCTATTGTTGTCATACTGTTATTTAAATATTTGTGGAATTGAGATTCTAGTATTTAATTGTTCATGTGTTTATCTCATCTCTCCTCAACTCGATTATAGGCTTCCTTATGTCACAGGCCATGTTCTCTGCCATACTTTGCAACACATCACATACATAGTAGGGACCCAGTAAGTGTCTTTGATTTCATTTGAAGAGAGTGTTATATCCTAGAAGTGCCGTAAGAATGTGTCTCTTAAAACTCCTCATCTATAACCTTGTCGCTTCTGGAATGTAACCAGAGAATAGCTTTGAAGTGAGGTTATGATGTGTTTCTTTCTTATTTGTTTCTAGGAATGAAAGACCTTGTTTTCTACCCTGGCAAAGTAAGATGATTTGAATTTCTCTAATGCACAATCCACTATATGTTGTTTTTTGTATTGAAGGTCATGTGTTGAAATGTAAAAGTATTTGTTGGCAATAATTATTTAAGTAGACTATTTCCAATCTTAAAAACATAGGATTATGTTTAAAATTAATTTTCTTATTTGTCTATGGTTGCAACTTAAAACACTTTTCCTTGTATACACTATAAAATGTTAATAGCTACGTATAGAGTGACTTTACGACTGTACTGTCATTTTTCTCAGCTTGATCAGCTCTTTTGAATGGCATCATTATGATCAAAGTTGTTTACAGTAATAAAATATGAATAGTTTCAATAAAAAAGTAGGCACCATTACAATTAAGAAGTATCTGGCATTTTAGAATGTGATAACCACTCATAATGCTGTCACAGGATAAGCAAGTCTACAATATAAACATAATTAGAAGAATGACCTAAACAAGTCTTTGAAGCACAAAAAGGAATATGAATTGAGGGAGGCAGTGCTGCATAGCTGGGAATATGCAGAATATTCAATACACCTGCATTGTTTCAAAGAAATTGTGAGTAGTTTAACATTTTATTCATACTTGTATCCTTCATCTAGTTCTACCTGCAAAGAACAAACAAATTTTAAAATTAGGACAACATACCAAATGTTTCAATAAAACTTGGGGCTTAGTACTTTGTTTGATAAGGAATACTACAAAAATTAGCAAATTCATATTTGTTCGGGTATTTATTCAATTACATTACATTGCTATTGGAAAACATAACAACGAGGATGTATAAAATAACTCTGCAAATCTTTACACCATGAACAAACACCTTTCTAAATGACAATGTTTTCTTCATGCAGACACTGATTTTTAGGTTTCTGTTTCTTTCCCTTCATCTGAAGATTGATTTACTTCTGGTTCATGCATGTGCTCATGGTCACTACCATCAGAGGGGTGACAGGTAAGAGAAATTGAATAAAAGTCTAGGTCAGTTGATGTTGCTACTGCTTTGAGCTTCTGAAACCAGGGTTAGAGAAAGTAAATGATGGTAGACTATTTCTTTGGGGAATAAAAAGAACTGGTTTCAGCAACTTTATAAGGGTGATTGTCTTCATAATGTTTATAGTAAGTAAAGTTGTGAGGGCTAACCCAGAGGCAGCTGAACACAATGACTATTTTGACTCCCTTATTGAAGAATGGAAATAAGCAATTTTTGACATAATTCCTGATGCACACAGTAATTAGGAACCTGTTTACAAATAAATACATGAATTGTCAAACAATTTACTTAAACATGTTGCATGTATAATAGTAATACTAAAACATAACTCAAGATAGGTAATCCCTTTACTAATTCATTATTTTTGGTGAATAATGAAGGTGTGTTCTCATGCCAGACTATTTTAATCCTGACATATATCTCCACCTCTGTTTTGGAAAACATACCCCTTTTTCATAAGAGTGGATGTTATCCTTTTCTCCATAAGGCTGTCTATAGGATACTGCTTTCCTCTAGCAGTACATTGGCTCCAGAGTGAATTAATCAATAAAGAAAATAAATTATGTAATATTAAATATGTATATAATTATCTTCTTTAACTGCATAAAAACCTAGACTAAATTTTAAAATTGCCTCTTGTAGGTGCTTATGTTTTTAAACAACCTAAAAGTCTATCAAAGTGAGAGTAGCTAAAGAAAGTATGGATGCATATAATGGAATATGTTGCTGTTAAAAAGAATCAGGTCATTCTGTATGAATTGACAATAAAATGTTATGTTATTGTGAAGTGAAACATTTTAGTTAAAAAAGAAAATTACGTAACATACATAAGGTATTGTGTCATTTTTTCATAAACATACATATATTTGTATATTCTAGAAATGAGTCTCAATAAATACGTATCTTTCTTGGGGGAGGAAAACATTCACTGTTTATTTGTATTATTTTAATTATCACAATGAGCGTTTTAAAAACAGTTTTTATGGTACAAAGATCAGAGACAGTCTCAGAAAATATCTATCAAACTTTAAGGAAAACAGCATTCCTTTATTGTTGGCTTGTTTTTAAACAGAGAAGCCATGGAAAAATCCTCGGTTTGTTATGAGGAAATTTTTTTCTTTTGGCATTTGCTATCTTTTTTTATTTCCTCATTTGGAAATTATGTATTCATATTTTTTGATTATCTATGGGAACATTAAAAATTGATGAAACAGAAACCTATACCGGCTTAGATATCCTAACCTGAGCCTTTGATCAGTGTACGGCATTGTGTGGCCTCTGGAATTGGCTCAGGATGGAAGAGCAATTGCAGCCTCCTGTTTAACAGTTGTTTGACTCTCCCATTGGACAAAGTCGAGAAGTCGCACAGCTGTGATTGCTGCTGGCAGCTACTCCATAACCCCAGGGGAACTAGCCTTCAGAGGAAGCTTACTCTGAGGTTGCAGGGGAGAGAGACAGAGAGAAATTAGGCATTTGGTGACATCATTGAGCTGATGGATAGACCAACCCTGAAACTTTTCTTATTCTGTACTTTCAGGTATAGTATCCAATACATTTCCTTTATTCTTTAATCCACTTTGAGTCAGTTTTTGTGTTAGTTGCAACTGAAGACATCCCACTAATATATTTTTCTTAAGTAAATAGGAATGTAGACAAGGGTTTGTGTACAATAATTGTTATCACAAATATTTAATGAGTAAAAAAATACATGATTTAAATGTTAAAATATTAGGAAAACAAGTACATAGATTGTGGTTGACTGATATGATAGAATATTATGTAGCTACTAAAACTGATATTTTCAAGTAGTTTTTAATTAACAAGGCCCTTCACAATCCAGCTCCTGTCACCCCCCTGGCCTTGTGTCTCTGGGCTCCATGGTTAACACTCACATGTTCTCTGTCCACATTGCACTGTCTTACTTATTTGCTTTGCCTTGTGTGGTTTTCTCTACATGGGAAAGCTCAGAATTCTCCCAACTTGTAGCTTCATCCTACTCACCCTTTAAAGTTAAGCTCAGGCATAGCTCCTCCAAGAAGCCTTCCCATAATTTTTTTTGTGGCTCCCCAAGTTTGTGCCGGCTCCCCTCCTCTTTGTACCTGCAATAACAGTAGTTATTTCTGTAACTGATGGTGTTTTAACTGTCTCTTTATGTGCCTTTCTTTCCCATGATACTGTGAGCTCTTTGAAGACAAAGACTAACTGCTTCTTATTAGTCTGTGTATTCCTAATGCCTAATCAAAGTTCTGGCAGAGAATAGCTGCTCTATAAATATGTGTAGACTGTGTGCGTAGATAGTTAGATGAATAAATGAATGAATTTTCCCCATGGATATATCAAGAACGTAGGATGGGAAGCTTTGAGAATTTTTAACTGTTTGTGTGTTTCGCATGGAAATGGGAAAATTTTGTGATAAATAAGTCCTAGAGATTTACACTCGGAACAGCATAGTGCCTACAGCTAAGAATACTGAATTGTATAGTTACAATTTGCTAACAGGGTAGACGTTGTCTTAAATGTTTTTATCAAAACAAAACAGCAATAATAATAAAGGTGGCGGAGAAGACTTTGGAAGGTGATAGATATGTCTGTGGCCTTGATGGTAGTGATGGTTTCATGGGTAGATACTTATCCCTAAACTCATCAAGAGGTATACATTAAATATGCACAGCTTTTCATATGCCAATCACACCTGAATAAAGTGGTTTATAAAATAAAGGAAGGAGTGGTAAAGAAAAATATCACTTCCCTTATTTAGTTCCTAAACTATAAGACATTATCAATGAGCTTGTAATGGCTGGCTAAATGATAAGACCATTTTTGGGGTCTTCCTGGAAGATTACAGCTTTATTTCCTATTTTTCTTTTGTTTATATGACAATGACTAATCAAGACAACTCTTCTGCCTAGCTCCCTTACTCTTATACATAAATATTTATTTATTTGTCAAATAATTATTGAACACCTAGAATGTGCTAGATACTGGGCTATAGAGAGCTGTGCCCATTCCCACAAGGTTAACAGTTTAAGTAGGCAGACTGTCTTTAAATAAATACACAAATAAATTTTCTATGCAAGTGAAGACACTGAGTTTCCACTGAAGGGAGGTGCAATTCCCTTTACCCTCAGGTGGAAAAAGAAAAGCAGCTGGCTATTTATGTAAAAAAGAAGGCTAGACTTTAAAAAATCCATCTTTTAAACTCCTTTTGTAAAAATTTATTCAACAACATTTACTAATAAATATTTATAATTGAGACAGTTGAAGACAAGCCCCATATTGTTATTCTCTCATGAAAAATTAAATTGAGTTATTCTTTTGATTAATTCTAAAAGCTTCAGTTTAAGGTTACTGAAGTCTGACAGGAAAATTGAAGCCATGATTGATTTACATGACACACTTTTAGTGGAAAATACTGTAAAACATTGCAGAGCACTTTGACATCTTAAAAGATGAACCCAGATGAGACGTGCCAGGCTTGTGGAGCAAGGCAAAGGTGTTCACAAGTAACCTTCACCTCAGACCACCCCCTTCCTGAGGCGCCCTGGTTGGGTAACGTGCTTTCACTTTCCGAACGTGTAACTCTTGGAAGTGCAGAAAGGCCAGGCAGAAGCACTCTCCTATCATACAAACTATGTTAATACTAAGCTTTATAAAAAAGACTTAAAACAGCATGGAGAATATAAGATGAATTCTGAATCTGTACATTACATAAGGCTGGTAAAATCCCTTTTCTCTGCCCTACTTTCAGGACAGATAGTATGTATTAGTCATTTCTGTATTTATACTGCCAGCAGAGTAGACTGTATACAATAGGCATTCCTAGGAATTCCTGAATGAAATATTAATAGTGATTCTACATATACAGTGAGATTATCTGTGAGTGTTTTTTTCTCCTTTGCATTCTTTAATCTTCTTCACATTTTCTACAGTGGTGATGTACTGGTGGTGTTATTTTCATAAATTCGCTGTCAATGGAAAAGAAAGGAGGAGGGTAGAAGATACTCAGATATTGATGCTGTAATTCGGCATGCCCCTAATAATTGGTGTATTTCTGTATGTGGCCAAGAAAGATAAACAGGTCTCCCCACACTAGCCTTTCAGATGTGCAGCATACCTGATTTTTTTTTCCTCCAAGTATCATAATTTTTATTCTAATATCAACCTATGTGAAATATGAACTCACAGGAAGCTGACAGTAAAGAAAGCTAATAGTGTCTAGTGAGTTTGATGCATAGATTACCCAAAAATTTTTCTGGATAAGCCTGCATCTCAAGGTAGAGCCAATGAATAATTTGGGTATGGGGTGATTTTTAACTTCCCTATAATTTCCATCACTTCAAATATATTTAAGTAAAAACCATTTATTCTGCAAATGCAGTTTCAAGTAGACTCTCTTCGTCCCTAACCAGCAAGATTTCTATCCTCATGCCACTCCTATAAAGATGATCTGTAGCCACCACCATGGGTAATATTATCTGCATTTTAATTTTATTTTATTAATATTTATCTTATTTTTAGAGAAAAAGTCTCTTTCTGTCACTCTGACTGGAGTGCAGTGGCACAATCGTGGTTGATTATAGCTGTGACCTCCTGGGCTCAAGTGATCTTCCTGCCTCAGCCTCCTGTGCAGCTAGGACTACAGGCATGCACCACTATGCCTGGCTGATTTTTTATTTTTTGTAAAGATGGGATCTTGCTATGTTGCTAGGGCTGGTCTCAAATTCCCGGCCTCCAGCAATCCTTCAGACTCGGCTTTCCAAAATGCTGGGATTACAGGTGTGAGCCACCATGTCTGGCCTATTATCTTTATTTTTAGATGAGGAACAAATAAGTAAACCACTCAGGTGCATGTCTAGTGAGAGGCAGAGCTCAGAAGAGAGCACTTGTCTTCCTTACCCCCAAGTCTGTCCTTTTCTTACTATATACCATGCTGCCAGAATTTCATAAGGCCACAAAATGAGATATGGAATCACAGGTTTAGAATTTATAGTATGGAGACACTATAAGCTTTATTACTTAGGCAACTTAAGTAAAATGATAACAATTCAGGTATTAATTACTAAATTCCTCACTAGGGGATTCAGTGAGCCATCTGTAGCTAAAATAAATGTTTCTGTTTTCCCTGGTTTGAGATCTCTTTCAAATTGTTCATTCTGTTTTGTTCGTTTGTTTGTTTGCTTTTCACATTAACTGATTTCCATGACCCATGCCATTCACATATTAATGATCTCTGTGTTACAATGGCTATTTTCTTATTTTACGGCTTAAATGTTAATTGCAAAAAAGGTTTATTCATTTATTATCCTTCTGGACATGACTAAAGGCCCTCATTTTTGCTTTAATATTAATCAGCCATATTTCTCTCTCTCTAACTAGCTCTGCTATTACTAGCTAATACATAGATCCATGTAATTCCAAGACATAGAAAGATATATGTGACTTCAATTTGCTTACTTCAAATGACTTATCTTGAAAATTAAATATCTGTATTTAAGCCATTTCTGATCTTCTTTTCTCTGTGTCTGGAAGGAAAAATGTGTATAATCCCTGACTTTTTGAAAGAGTGAGAATAGTTACAATCTGATAAAGGTTTCCCACCTTGGAGTTGAGTTCATTTACCATTATCCCCAGTACGGCAACCTTATATTCCCACCCTGACCACAACACCTGAGTGTGTACTGTCTCTGGCTCATGAAATAAACAGGATTGTTACATGGAAAATTGTATTTCATACCCATGCCACTGTTCTCTGTTCCCTTCTTCACACATTGCCACCATTAATTTCTTCTTTAGAGCCATCTTCTTACAGATGCAATGAATAAATTGTATAAACCTTAATAGATTTTGGTCAGGAAAAACAATCCCAGGAATTTCATCTTGAAGACTCCTTCTTTGTTCCATACATATACCTGTGTGTGTATCAGTGATCACAGTGCAGTGAGGCACATGTGGGCTCCAGATACAAATCTGGGTTTGAACCCTGGCTCTAAAGTTTACTAAGTGTATTTTTAAAGTTTAACCAAGTAGTATTTATATGTACATATTTGTAACTATAGGAAGAAAGATAAAAGATGAAATATTGGCCCCTAAATCTGATTTAAACTGTTAGGAAACAAAGTTTTTGGGTTTTTGTTGTTGTTGATGTTCCGTTCATTTTGGATTTTACCCTTTCTCCTCGTTGATGAAAGAAATGATTTTTCCCATTACATAGAAAATTAAAATTTTAAATAAATGTGAGGCTACCTTTTCCTTTGATGAAAGTTCATTTTGAAGATCAAATGTTTGCTTTTCTTTGGTCCTTCATGGTATCTTGTAGAAGGAAGACCGCAAACCAGGTGGAAAAAAGATGCCTGTAAATATAACTGAAACAGTGACCACTTAATATTGAATATTTATTAAAATAGGTTTTGTTCTCCTGTTTAGTTTTAATTATGTCTTACTAAAGAAATACAGAAAATACTTAACAAAGTATGCTATGAATCTCACTCATTCACAGATATTTAATCCATATAAGTGCCAGAAAAGCATTTTTTTTGGCTTTGTGTGGGGGCCATTTATTATTTTATTTCAGTATGTGTGTGTGTAATAGCTTTAATAAAGTGTAATTTACATACCATAAAATTCACCCCCTTTAAGTGTACAATTCAATAATTTTTAGTAAGTTTACAGAATTGTGCAGCCATTACCATGATCCAGTTTTATTTTTATTTATTTATTTATTTATTTATTTTTATTATACTTTAAGTTTTAGGGTACATGTGCACAACGTGCAGGTTTGTTACATATGTATACATGTGCCATGTTGGTGTGCTGTACCCATTAACTCGTCATTTAACATTAGGTATATCTCCTAATGCTATCCCTCCCCAATCCGCTCACCCCACAACAGGCCCTGGTGTGTGATGTTATCCTTCCTGTGTCCATGTGTTCTCATTGTTCAATTCCCACCTATGAGCGAGAACATGTGGTGTTTGGTTTTCTGTCCTTGCGATAGTTTGCTGAGAATGATGGTTTCCAGCTTCATCCATGGCCCTGCAAAGGACATGAACTCATCATTTTTTATGGCTGCATAGTATTCCATGGTGTATATGTGCCACATTTTCTTAATCCAGTCTATCATTGATGCACATTGAGGTTGGTTCCAAGTCTTTGCTATTGTGAACAGTGCTGTAATAAACATACATGTGCATGTGTCTTTATAGCAGCATGATTTATAATCCTTTGAGTATATACGCAGTAATGGGATGGCTGGGTCAAATGGTATTTCTAGTTCTAGATCCCTGAGGAATTGCCACACTGACTTCCACAATGGTTGAACTAGTTTACAATCCCACCAACAGTGTAAAAGTGTTCCTATTTCTCCACATCCTCTCCAGCACCTGTTGTTTCCTGACTTTTTAATGGTTGCCATTCTAACTGGTGTGAGATGGTATATCACTGTGGTTTTGATTTGCATTTCTCTGATGGCCAGTGATGATGAACATTTTTTCATGTGTCTTTTGGCTGCATAAATGTCTTCTTTTGAGAAGTGTCTGTTGATATCCTTCACCCACTTTTTGATGGGGTTGTTTGTTTTTTTCTTGTGAATTTGTTTGGGTTCATTGTACATACTGGATATTAGCCCTTTGTCAGATGAGTAGATTGCAAAAGTTTTCTCCCATTCTGTAGGTTGCCTGTTCACTCTGATGGTAGTTTCTTTTGCTGTGCAGAAGCTCTTTAGTTTAATTAGATCCCAATTTGTCAATTCTGGCTTTTGTTGCCATTGTTTTTGGCGTTTTAGACATGAAGTCCTTGCCCATGCCTATGTCCTGAATGGTATTGCCTAGGTTTTCTTCTAGGGTTTTTATGGTTTTAGGTCTAACATTTAAGTTTTAATGCATCTTGAATTAATTTTTGTATAAGGTGTAAGGAAGGGATCCAGTTTCAGCTTTCTATATATGGCTAGCCAGTTTTCCCAGCACCATTTATTAAATAGGGAATCGTTTCCCCATTTCTTGTTTTTGTCAGGTTTGTCAAAGATCAGATAGTTGTAGATATGCGGCGTTATTTCTGAGGGCTCTGTTCTGTTCCATTGGTCTATATCTCTGTTTTGGTACCAGTACCATGCTGTTTTGGTTACTGTAGCCTTGTAGTATAGTTTGAAGTCAGGTAGTGTGATGCCTCCAGCTTTGTTCTTTTGGCTTAGGATTGACTTGGCAATGTGGGCTCTTTTTTGGTTCCATATGAACTTTAAAGCAGTTTTCTCCAATTCTGTGAAGAAAGTCATTTGTAGCTTGATGGGGATGGCCTTGAATCTACAAATTACCTTGGGCAGTGTGGCCATTTTCATGATATTGATTCTTCCTACCCATGAGCATGGAATGTTCTTCCATTTGTTTGTATCCTCTTTTATTTCCTTGAGCAGTGGTTTGTAGTTCTCCTTGAAGAGGTCCTTCACATCCCTTGTAAGTTGGATTCCTAGGTATTTTATTCTCTTTGAAGCAATTGTGAATGGGAGTTCACTCATGGTTTGGCTCTCTGTTTGTCTGTTATTTGTGTATAAGAACGCTTGTGATTTTTGCACATTGATTTTGTATCCTGAGACTTTGCAAAGGGAATGATTCCAGTTTTTGCCCATTCAGTATGATATTGGCTGTGGGTTTGTCATAGATAGCTCTTATTTTTTTGAGATATGTCCCATCAATACCTAATTTATTGAGAGTTTTTAGCATGAAGCGTTGTTGAATTTTGTCAAAGGGCTTTTCTGCATCTATTGAGATAATCATGTGGTTTTTGTCGTTAGTTCTGTTTATATGCTGGATTACATTTATTTGATTTGTGTATGTTGAACCAGCCTTGCATCCCAGGGATGAAGCCCACTTGATCATGGTGGATAAGCTTTTTGATGTGCTGCTGGATTTGGTTTGCCAGTATTTTATTGAGGATTTTTGCATCAATGTTCTTCAGGGATATTGGTCTAAAATTCTCTTTTTTGGTTGTGTCTCTGCCAGGCTTTAGTATCAGGATGATGCTGTTCTCATAAAATGAGTTATGGAGGATTCCCTCTTTTTCTATTGATTGGAATAGTTTCAGAAGGAATGGTACCAGCTCCTCCTTGTACTTCTGGTAGAATTCGGCTGTGAATCCATCTGGTCCTGGAGTTTTTTCGGTTGGTAAGCTATTAATTATTGCCTCAATTTCAGAGCCTGTTATTGGTCTATTCAGAGATTCAACTTCTTCCTGGTTTAGTGTTGGGAGGGTGTATGTGTCAAGGAATTTATCCATTTCTTCTAGATTTTCTTGTTTATTTGCATAGAGGTGTTTATAGTATTCTCTGATGGTAGTTTGTATTTCTGTGGGATCAGTGGTGATATCCCGTTTATCATTTTTTATTGCATCTATTTGATTCTTCTCTCTTTTCTTCTTTATTAGTCTTGCTAGCAGTCTATCAATTTTGTTGATCTTTTCAAAAAACCAGCTCCTGGATTCACTGATTTTTTTGAAGGGTTTTTTGTGTCTATTTCCTTCAGTTCTTCTCTCATCTTAGTTATTTCTTGCCTTCTGCTAGCTTTTGAATGTATTTGCTCTTGCTTCTCTAGTTCTTTTAATTGTGATGTCAGGGTGTCAATTTTAGATCTTTCCTGCTTTCTCTTGTGGGCATTTAGTGCTATAAATTTCCCTCTACACACTGCTTTCAGTGTGTCCCAGAGATTCTGGTACGTTGTGTCTTTGTTCTCATTGGTTTCAAAGAACATCTTTATTTCCGCCTTCATTTCGTTATGTACCCAGTAGTGATTCAGGAGCAGGTTGTTCAGTTTCCATGTAGTCGAGTGGTTTTGAATGAGTTTCTTAATCCTGAGTTCTAGTTTGATTGCACTGTGGTCTGAGAGACAGTTTGTTATAATTTCCGTTCTTTTACATTTGCTGAGGAATGCTTTACTTCCAACTATGTGGTCGATTTTGGAATAGGTGTGGTGTGGTGCTGAAAAGATTGTATATTCTGTTGATTTGGGGTGGAGAGTTCTGTAGATGTCTATTTGGTCTGCTTGGTGCAGAGCTGAGTTCAATTCCTGGATACCCTTGTTGCCTTTCTGTCTCATTGATCTGTCTAATGTTGACAGTGGGGTGTTAAAGTCTCCCATTATTAATGTGTGGGAGTCTAAGTCTCTTTGTGGGTCACTCAGGACTTGCTTTATGAATCTGGGTGCTCCTGTATTGGGTGCATATATATTTAGGATAGTTAGCTCTTCTTGTTGAATTGATCCCTTTACCATTATGTAATGGCCTTCTTTGTCTCTTTCGATCTTTGTTGGTTTAAAGTCTGTTTTATCAGAGACTAGGATTGCAACCCCTGCCTTTTTTTTTGTTTTACATTTGCTTGGTAGATCTTCCTCCATCCCTTTATTTTGAGCCTATGTGTGTCTGCACGTGAGATGGGTTTCCTGAATACAGCACACTGATGGGTCTTGACTCGTTATCCAATTTGCCAGTCTGTGTCTTTTAATTGGAGCATTTAGTCTATTTACATTTAAGGTTAATATTGTTATGTGTGAATTTGATCCTGTCATTATGATGTTAGCTGGTTATTTTGCCTGTTAGTTGATGCAGTTTCTTCCTAGCCTTGATGGTCTTTACAATTTGGCATGTTTTTGCAGTGGCTGGTACTGGTCGTTCCTTTCCATGTTTAGTGCTTCCTTCAGGGGCTCTTTTAGGACAGGCCTGGTGGTGACAAAATCTCTCAGCGTTTGCTTGTCTGTAAAGGATTTTATTTCTCCTTCACTTATGAAGCTTAGTTTGGCTGGATATGAAATTCTGGGTTGAAAATTCTTTTCTTTAAGAATGCTGAATATTGGCCCCCACTCTCTTCTGGCTCGTAGAGTTTCTGCGGAGAGATCAGCTGTTAGTCTGATGGTCTTCCCTTTATGGGTAACCCGACCTTTCTCTCTGGCTGCCCTTATCATTTTTTTCCTTCATTTCAACTTTGGTGAATCTGACAATTATGTGTCTTGGAGTTGCTCTTCTCAAAGAGTATTTTTGTGATTTTCTCTGTATTCCCTGAATTTGAATGTTGGCCTGCCTTTCTAGATTGGGGAAGTTCTCCTGGATAATATCCTGCAGAGTGTTTTCCAACTTGGTTCCATTCTCCCCATCACTTTCAGGTACACCAATCAGACGTAGATTTGGTCTTTTCACATAGTCCCATATTTCTTGGAGGCTTTGTTCATTTCTTTTTATTCTTTTTTCTCTAAACTTCTCTTCTCACTTCATTTCATTCATTTGATCTTCCATCACTGATACCCTTTCTTCCAGCTGATCGAATCAGCTACTGAGGCTTGTGCATTCTTCACATAGTTCTCGTGCCATGGTTTTCAGCTCCAACAGGTCCTTTCAGGACTTCTCTGCATTGGTTATTCTAGTTAGCCATTCATCTAATCTTTTTTCAAGGTTTTTAGCTTCTTTGCCATGGGTTCAAACTTCCTCCTTTAGCTGGGAGTAGTTTGATCATCTGAAGCCTTCTCTCAACTCATCAAAGTCATTCTCCATCCAGCTTTGTTCCATTGCTGGTGAGGAGCTGCGTTCTTTTGGAGGAGGAGAAGCACTCTGATTTTTAGAATTTTCAGTTTTTCTGCTCTGTTTTTTCCCAATCTTTGTGGTTTTATCTACCTTTGGTCTTTGATGATGGTGATATACAGATGTGGTTTTGGTGTGGATGTCCTTTCTGTTTGTCAGGTTTCCTTCTAACAGTCAGGACCCTCAGCTGCAGGTCTGTTGGAATTTGCTGGACGTCCACTCCAGACCCTGTTTGCCTGGGTATCAGCAGCGGAGGCTGCAGAACAGTGGATATTGGTGAATAGCAAATGTTGCTGCCTGATCGTTCCTCTGGAAGTTTTGTCTCAGAGGAGTACCCGGCCATGTGAGGTGTCAGTCTGCCCCTACTGGGGGGTGCCTCCCAGTTAGGCTACTCAGGGGTCAGGGACGCACTTGAGGAGGCAGTCTGTTTGTTCTCAGATCTCAAGCTGCGTGCTGGGAGAACCACTACTCTCTTCAAAGCTGTCAGACAGGGACATTTAAGTCTGCAGAGGTTTCTGCTGCCTTTTGTTTGTCTGTGCCCTGCCGCCAGAGGTGGAGTCTACTGAGGCAGGCAGGCCTCCTTGAGCTGTGGTGGGCTCCACCCAGTTCGAGCTTCCCAGCCGCTTTGTTTACCTACTCAAGCCTTGGCAATGGCGGGCGCCCCTCCCCTAGCCTCACTGCCACCTTGCAGTTTGATCTCAGACTGCTGTGCTCACAATGAATGAGGCTCCGTGGGCGTAGGACTCTCCGAGCCAGGCGTGGGATGTAATCTCCTGGTGTGCCATTTGCTAAGACCATTGGAAAAGTGCCGTATTAGGGTAGGAGTGATCCGATTTTCCAGGTGCCATCTGTCACCCCTTTCCTTGGCTAGGAAAGGGAATTCCCTGACCCCTTGCACTTCCCGGGTGAGGCGATGCCTCATCCTAGTTCAGCTCACACTCGGTGCGCTGCACCCACGGTCCTGCACCCACTGTCTGACAAGCCCCAGTGAGATGAACCCAGTACCTCAGTTGGAAATGCAGAAATCACCTGTCTTCTGCGTCGCTCATGCTAGGAGCTGTAGATTGGAGCTGTTCCTATTCGGCCACCTTGGCTCCACCCCACAATCCAGTTTTAAAATGTTTTCATTGCCCAAAAAGATCTTTCATGCCCATTTGCAGTTGCCCTCTTTTCCCATTCACAGCTCCAGTAGCAATTTTAACGAAAAAAGAAAATCTTCTCTTAAAAGTGATCCAACTCTCCCCCATTATCTGTCTATCCTAGGTCAGCAGACAAAGGGACTAAAATTAATAATTCAAAACCAAAATTCACCTCAAAGCAAGCTAGGTAATAGAGTCCAGTGCTTCCCCCAAATTTAATTATGTTTCTTTTATTTATTTATTTATTTGCTTATTTTGCATGAAAATGGCACTGTTTAGACCTAAAATATGAAAATATGTTGGATAAAAAGATCTAAGAAGTGGAACCAGCAAGTTACTGAGGCTGTTTCTGCTTACCCCTAATTTAAATGCAATAAAAATACACTTTGGGAGGACGAGGCAGGCGGATCATGAGGTCAGGAGATCAAGACCCTCATGGCCAACATAGTGAAACTCCGTCTCTACTAAAATACAAAAATTAGCCGGGCGTGGTGGTGCATGCCTGTAATCCCAGCTACTCAGGAGGCTGAGGCAGGAGAATCCCTTGAACCAGGGAGTTGGAGGTTGCAGTGAGCCGAGATCACAGCACAGCACTCCAGCCTAGGGACAGAGTGAGACTCCGTCTCAAAAAAAAAAAAAATTATATATATATATATATATATATATATATATAAAATATATACATATATATTTCAATATAATTGAAATGTATAGGGCTATTAAAAGAAATTATGTTTTAAAGATTTTTTCAAACTCATTAATTTTTATTTAAAATTTTCTTTTTTGAATAGACCTTTTCCCGATACCTTTCCAATTTTCACAAATGATATATGTTTATTTCAGCTAAAATGTTCAATTTTGAAGCAAAAATATCCTAACCAAAAAATCGACGACAAGTGCCAATTCCCCTCCAAGTTACACTCAATCTGGACATGGTAGATAGTTAAAACATAACTGTTCAAATGGGAGACTGTTGATCTATTCAATAAAGTCATCTGCCTCATGAACTTTGCTGGCCAAGCAGAAGGGGTTGCTTCTCCCTAGTGGTCACATAGACTTAATTATTACCTGGAAAAAAGTAATGAAAACATACATACAGGCCTTGTGTTATGATCCATCTCATATTGCTCCCTCCTGCTCATAGGTGCTCTAAATGATTTCACTGGGAGTAATATCTTTCTTTCATAAAGATAAGTATTATCATATCATAATGAATATATATACACATATACTTATGTGTATGTATGTATATATATTCATCATGATACATACATACATTTATGTATATGTATATATATTCATTAACCAATACTTAATATACAATAAAAGAGTCCATATTTCAGAAACAACCTTGGGATAACAGAAAAAGCATTTTATAGTTGGGAGTAGAAATTTGAATTGTGTTCCACACTAGGTAGAAAGAGCAAAAGTATTTAATCCTTCTATAATTAATCAGGTTTCAGGAAGACAAATTTCAGAAGTTTGTTATAAGTACACGATGGACTCAGAAATTTGGATCCTAAAATGACAACAAACTGAGCTTTAGTAATACCTAAGGAATGGAATCTTGTTACCAATTCAATTTTAGAAGGCTCATAAAAAATGAGTATTTTCATTTCAGTTCCTTTCCATTCAAATCTACAAGTATTTATTATGTGAAAACCACTGTGCCAGAGCCACAGACAATATATTAGGCCATATAAGCAAATGCAATAGGGGAATTTCAGCTCAGTTAGTGATCAGCAAAATCGAGTTCTGACCTAAAGCATACTGGTAACAATACTGTGACCCGCATATCTTTTGGACCCAAACTTAAAATTGTACAAAGGTAAATAATTGAACCGATTTTCTCCCTAGGCTGAACAATCAAGTCTTCAGATGTAGAGCCTCCTCCAGGTGGTATTAAAAATAACACAAGTAGCTCTGAATTTCCCCTCCCAATCTTGAAGCTCTGCAAGGTAACATTTTCCCATCTTTTCAAACTGTGTCAAATATGATAAACTGAGCCATCAAATCCAAATGCAATTTTGAAATGATCCATTAGGGGAATTCCATGGATAACTGGTGATTCCTCTATCATATGCATGAAAGTTGCACGTTAACATTGGCACTATGCAGGATCTTTGAGTTCAGAACCAGGAGAAGGGAAGAAGCTGGTAAGAAGGAACAATTTAGGTTTCTGACTTTGAAGGTAGGTTCCAGAGGCAACTGAAAAATGTGTTTTCACCAGAATCCTTGGTAATTTCTTCCACAGTTCAAAGATTTTTTAGGTTACTTTGTTTTATACGGGAAAATCTATTTGTTACTGAATTATTGGCTTATAAACATCTCCTTTTTTTAAATACGAATAACTTTTAAGACATAAGAAGGCTAATAGTCATTCACAAATTAGTGTGAATTAATTTAAGAATATTTAATATGATTGTTTTTCTCCTAATAACCAAAAACAACTACACTGTCAGAATGGTGACTGTTTGTTTGTTTTGAGACAAGGTCTGGCTCTATCACCTAGGCTGGAATGCAGTGGCAGAACTTCTGCTCACTGTAACCTCTGCCTCCCAGGCTCGAGCCATCCTCCTACCTCAGCCTCCCAAGTAGCTGAGACTACAGGCACGAACCAGCACACCCAGCTAATTTCTGTATTTTTTGTAGAGATGGGGTTTTGCCATGTTGCCCAGGCTGATCTTGAACTTGTGAGCTCAAGTTATCCGCCCACCTCGGCCTCCCAGTATGCTGGGATTACAGGTGTGAGCACCTGGCAGAATGGTAGACTTTATTTATGAGTTGTTATGAAACACCAAATATTCATACCTGTTCATATCCTTAAAATTTAAGAAGATTTGTCACATACTTTATCTAGTTTGCTGCCCATAAATGCCAAGTGATATGAAAAACACTGTTCGTTGCCTAAAAGGCATTCCTTTGTTCTTTCTTGTATGTAAAACTTTGAGTTGGGGTACACTCCACACCTCCATGTGACTCAAGTTCAAAAAACAAGATAAATCTAAACCAATCATACTTTATCATTTGCCTTATCAATAAGTGATTTGGGGCAAGCATGTTACTCATTTCTTGTCAACAAGATATGGGAGAGGCCTGTTGAAGTACTTCCGGAAAAGCTTACTTTTTGCTCTAAGGAAAAAGAAGAAAAAGAATGCACAGGAAGAAATAAGTCCTCTTTCTTCCATCAGATATAGTTTTATTTGTAAGTGAAGCTATACTTCAGAAAGGGATAAAACCAGAACGGCAGAAGTCATCTTTCAACCAGGAGGTTGCTAAGTAATCATTCTGAAATGCCTTACAGAAAGATGAAAAGTACTAGGGTCCTTCGCCATGTAATTTAGTAACTAATTTAAATATTCCAGTACTTGTACACTCTTGGAATTTTGTGTTATATTGATGAATAGTGAATACATCTGCATTTCTGTTTTAAAAAATTGAGTCAGAGTTTTGGGTGACTGTTAACTGAAATCACATTGATACATGTGAAATGGTTAGATCCCTAAATTAGAGACATGGAGACTATGGATGAAGGTTCAGAAACTTGACCAAGACCACATGGTAAGTTACAGGTAGTTGACATAATTAACCATTCTAATGACATAATTAACCATTCTAAGCAGACATCTTTACTTTTGTTCCATCAACTGTTGTCATAGAGCAATGGTCACATTGAAACATCATGGTCACTTCTATGGTAAGGGAATATTCTCAGAGAAGGGATGGTACTGAGAAAGTATCCTCAGTGGAGTCCAATCAGTATTTACAACTTTGTTTTATTTTGTTACTTAAGAAATTTAAAGTTTCTAATAGCCAATTTGTCAATAAAATTTTAGACATAGTTTGATCATAAGTAAGAAACTTCTTTCTAGTAATGAAGGAGAAAAAAATAGCCAGTTATCCCTGATGATGATGATTACTTAGTGTGAATAACAATGAATAAGTGAAAAAAACCTTCGAAGTCGTAATTGCTAGTGTGTGTCACCATTTTTCAAAGTGCAATTATCTATAATTATATGTAATGTATAATTATTTATTGCACTTAATATATATGTTACTAATGCAAAATATCTATGTATTTTAGAATTCTTTAAGAATTCTTTAAGAATTCTAAAATAAATATATTGTATATGGAAAGTACATTAAAAACTAAATTCTTACATAATTTGATTGCACTGAAGTAACTCAGCAATATGCCATAAGGATTATAGAGATAATGTTAAAATGTTTCAGAAACAAGTTATATGTAATACTGTAATGACATCAGAAAATATTTTATATATATATTTTAAAGAGTAGAAAATGAGTAATGCAAAGGCTAGATCACATTATAGATGTCACTATACATAAAAATATATATAATTTAAGTCAAATTAAAAATGTCCATATGTAAAATAAATTGAAATTAAGTGTAATGAAGGTTAGGAAAGTACAGGTATAAAAACTGTTAAGAACTGTATAGATTATAAATTTTAACCACTAGGTTTTTGCAAGCTGAAATTCATATATTCTATATATGTCAACACTAGTATGAATTTTGCTTATCAGAAATGTTTTTCAAGCATCACAAATTTTAGGGGCACAATAACTGAAATCATAAATTCTGTCATGATATGTGAATCTATGAAAATATATATTTAGTTATAGATGTGAAAATATATTAGGAAAAACCTAGCTAACATGAAATTCATTTTGTAAATTGAAGTAGGCAATAATATAGTTCTTTATGAGAACTTCCAGGGAACCTAAAAAGATATGTTATGTTGAGTTCATCTTTTTAACAAGGAATGACTTAAGATTTCAGAATGCGATGACAAGAAATGTCAGAATTAAATCCTATGGATTCATCTGTTGTATGTAGAAGGGTTTTCTAGGATGTGAGCTGTTTCAGCATAAAAATGAAAGAAAGGCCGGGCACGGTGGCTCATGTCTGTAATCCCAGCAATTTGGGAGGCCAAGGCAGGCAGATCATGAGGTCAAGAGATCGAGACCATCCTGGCCAATGAGGTGAAACCCCATCTCTACTAAAAATACAAAAATTAGCTAGGCGTGGTGGTGTACACCTGTAGTCCCAGCTACTCGGGAGGCTGAGACAGGAGAATCTCTTGAACCTGGGAGGCGGAGGCTGCAGTGAGTCGAGATCGTGCCACTGCACTCCAGCCTGGTGACAGAGCACGACTCCATCTCAAAAAAAAAAAAAAAAAGTAAAAATCACACCACCCATTTAGAAAAGTCAGAACCTCACAAACATTTACCAATACTGCAAAAACAAATACCAACTATTTTCCAGAGGATAGTGCAGTTTTATTCTTCTATTAGTTTCCATTTTCACTAATCTCTGCTCTACCTGGGTTGAGTGAATATGCCAAAATACTATGCAAATAGCTGTCCCTGTTTCAGCTTAATTGGGAACCAGAAATAGAGAACATCTCAAGGGATCTCTAACTGAGCATTTCAGGCATGAATTGTTTGGAGTGTGCTGATTAGGTTTTGGATAAGATTGTGAATTATGTTTATTCAAATACCCCTAAATCTCCAAAATCAGGCAAAGCCTGCCATGACTCTAACTGAGCAATGATATTTTATACCTTAAATAAGGCTGAGTCAGCTGTGGCTGCACCAGAGCACTTACTTTTTGCGAGCCTGAGCCTTCTCAATACCTCCATCCAGGAGCCAGTCATGGCCATTCCTGGGCCACGACATCCCAGATGATGAACAATATACAAATTCCTCTAGCCACCTTACTTCTTCGATACGTGGTTTGTGCTTCCTTTTTTTATTTTGTGGTCTTGTTTTTCTATTCTAATTTGCCTGCTTTTTCTCTTGTTAATTCCTCATATTTGTTTTCAGAAATTTTGAATTCAGTTCACATCACTCTCCTGCATTATTTACTAACTTTTTCACATTTACTCTGTTTCATGCGTGTCCGTGTGAAGAGACCACCAAACAGGCTTTGTGTGAGCAACATGGCTGTTTATTTCACCTGGGTGCAGGCGGGCTGAGTCCAAAAAGAGAGTCAGCGAAGGGAGAGAGGGGTGGGGCCGTTTTATAGGATTTGGGTAGGTAAAGGAAAAAGGGGGGTTGTTCTCTGGCGGGCAGGAGTGGGGGTCACTAGGTACTCAGTGGGGGAGCTTTTGAGCCAGGAAAAGGAATTTCACAAGACAATGTCATCAGTTAAGGCAAGAACAGGCCATTTTCGCTTCTTTTGTGGTGGAATGTCATCAGTTAAGGCAGGAACCGGCGATCTGGATGTGTATGTGCAGGTCACAGGGGATATGATGGCTTAGTTTGGGCTCAGAGGCCTGACATTCCTGTCTTCTTATATTAATAAGAAAAATAAAATGAAATAGTGGTAAAGTGTTGGGACAGCAAAAATTTTGGGGGATGGTATGGAGAGATAACGGGCGATGTTTCTCAGGGCTGCTTCGAGCGGGATTAGGGGCGGCGTGGGAACCTAGAGTGGGAGAGATTAAGCTGAAGGAAGATTTTGTGGTAAGGGGTGATATTGTGGGGTTGTTAGAAGGAACATTTGTAATTTAGAATTATTGGTGATGGCCTGGATACAGTTTTGTATGAATTGAAAAACTAAATGGAATAAGAGAAGGAGAAAAACAGGTATAAAAGGTCTAACAACTGGGACGACTCAGGACATCTGATTAGAGAGTGCCTAAGGACATTCAGCATAGTCCTGCCAGCAAAGATTATTTATTTACTTCAAGAGTTTAGAGTGGCAGTTTGGGGATAGCACGAGGAGATATCAGCTGTGATGGCTTGGAGAAACAGTGTAAACCGGCAGTGTAAACAAGAGCAGGGCATGTATGAGTAGTTGAGAACGGTGAATAGGAGTATGACTAGACAGAAGATAGTAGGGATGACAAGTTTTTTTTGGGGCACGGTCTAAGTTGGTCTGGTGTCTGGAATGAGACTGGGGCCTAATAAAAAGGAGCGTCTACACAGGAGCTCAAATGGGCTGTACCTTGTAGCATTCTGAAGACAGGTCTGACTTCTGAGAAGGGAAAGTCGTAAAAGTATTGTCCAGTCCTTTTTAAGTTGGTGGCTGAGCTTGGTGAGGTGTGTTTTTAAAAGACCTTTAGTCCATTCTACTTTTTCTGAAGACAGAGGACCGTAAGGGATATAAAGGTTTCACTGAATACTGAGAGCCTGAAAAACTGCTTGGCTGATTTGATTAATAAAGGCTGGTCTGTTATCAGACTGTATAGAGGTGGGAAGGCTAAACTGAGGAATTATGTCTGACAGAAGGGAAGAAATGACTGTGGTGGCCTTCTCAGACCCTGTAGGAAAGGACTCTACCTATCCAGTGAAAGTGTCTACCTAGACTAAGAGGTATTTTAGTTTCCTGACTCGGGACATGTTGAGTAAAGCTAATTTGCCCGTCCTGGGTGGGGGCAAATCCTCGAGCTTGATGTGTAGGGAAGGGAGGGGGCCTGAATAATCCCTGAGGAGTAGTAGAATAGCAGATGGAACACTGAGAAGTTATTTCCTTGAGGATAGATTTCCATGATGCAAAGGAAATGAGAGGTTCTAAGAGGCGGGCTAGTGGCTGGTACTATAGCATAGCCTGCCTTTTCTGGTGTGTGGCGATTAGGCCTGGTGGAACTGCCATCAATAAATCAAGCGTGATCAGGGTGAGGGACAGGAAAGAAGGAAATATGGGGAAATGGGGTGAATATCAGGTGGATCAGAGAGATACAGTCATGGGGGTCAGGTGTGGTATCAGGAATAATGTGGGAGGCCAGATTGAAGTCCGGGCCAGAAACAATGGTAGTTGTGGGACTTAAAGAGTGAGTTCAGCTGAAGGAGCTGGGGAGCAGAAAGTATATGCGTCAGGTATGAGGAAGAAAATAGATTTTGGAAGTTGTGAGAAATGTAGAGAGTAAGTTGAGCATAGTTTTTGATTTTGAGGGCCTCTAAAAGTATTAGGGCGGCAGCAGCCGCTGCACAGAGACATGATGGCTAGGCTAAAACAGTAAGGTCAAGTTGTTTGGACAGAAAGGCTACAGGGTGCGGTCCTGGCTCTTGTGTAAGAATTCTGACTGCACTAACCATGCCTAGGAAGGAAAGGAGTTGTTTTGTAAGGGATTGAGGTTTTGGAGATTAATCGGACATGATCAGCAGGGAGAGCACGTGTGTTTTTATGAGAATTATGCCAAGATAGGTAACAGATGAGGATGAAATTTGGGCTTGACTGAAGTAATGGGGGCTGTCTGTGAAGCCTTGCGGCAGTACAGCCCAGGTAATTTGCTGAGCCTAATGGGTGTCAGGGTCAGTCCAAGTGAAAGCGAAGAGAGGCTGGGATGACGGGTGCAAAGGAATAGTAAGGAAAGCATGTTTGAGATCCAGAACAGAATAATGGATTTGGAGGGAGGTATTGAGGATAGGAGAGTATATGGGTTTGCCACCATGCGGTGGATAGGCAAAACAATTTGGTTGATAAGGCATAGATCCTGAACTAACTTGTAAGGCTTGTCTGGTTTTAGGACAGGTAAAACGGGGGAATTGTAAGGAGAGTTTATAGGCCTTAAAAGGTCATGCTGTAGCAGGCGAGTGATAACATGCTTTGAAAGGATTAAAGCCTTTCAAAGCATGTTGTGGGATGGGATATTGGCATTGATCAGGGTAAGGGTGATTAGGTTTTAATGAGATGGTAAGGGGTGCTTGATCGGTCGCCAAAGAGGGAGTAGAGGTATCTTACACTTGTGGGTTGAGGTAGGGGAATACAAGAGGAGGACGCAAAGGAGGCTTTGGATTGGGAAGAAGGGCGGCAATGAGATGTAGCTGTAATCCAGGAATAGTCAGGGAAGCTGATAATTTAGTTAAAGTGTCTCGGCCTAATAAGGAAACTGGGCAGGTGGGGATAACTAAAAGGAGTGCTTAAAAGAGTATTGTCTAAGTTGACACCAGAGTTGGGGAGTTTTAAGAGGTTTAGAAGCCTGGCTGTCAATACGCACAACAGTTATGGAGGTAAGGGAAACAGGCCCTTGAAAAGAAGGTAATGTGGAGTGAGTAGCCTCGGTATTGATTAAGAAGGGGACAGACTTACCCTCCACTGCGAGTTACCCGAAGCTCGGCGTCCGTGATGGCCTAGGGGGCTTCCGAGGTGATCGGGCAGCGTCAGTCTTCAGCCGCTAAGCCAAGAAGATCTGGGAAGGAGTCAGAGAACCTTGGGCCAGAGTTCCAGGGGCTTTGGGAGTGGCTGCCAGGTGAGTTGGACAGTCCGATTTCCAGCGGGGTCCCGCACAGATGGGACACAGCTTAGGAGGAATCCTGGGCTGCAGGCATTCCTTGGCCTGGTGGCCAGATTTCTGGCACTTGTAGCAAGCTCCTGGGGGAGGAGGTTCTGGAGGAATGCCTGGCCACTGCAGTTCAGGCGTTTGGAAGTTCTTGTGTGCTGGAGATGTGGCTGGGGTTTGTCTCACAGTGGAGGCAAGGAATTGCAACTTTTTTCTATTATTGTACACCTTGAAGGTGAGGTTAATTAAATCCTGTTGTGGGGTTTGAGGGCCGGAATTTAATTTTTGGAGTTTTATTTAATGTCAGGAGCAGAAGAATTGGGACCTAGCAGAAGAATTGGGACTGAGGGGACAGGTGGGAGGGAAAGAAGCAAGATTTGGGATGAGTTGCATTGGGAACAGAGACTAGAGAGTGACAGATGTGTAAAAGAATGCCTGGACGTCAGGCACCTCAGACCATTTGCCCGTTTTACGACAAGAATTATTTAGATCTTGTAGGATGGAAAAATTGAAAGTGCCATTTTCCGGCTATTTGGAACTACTTTTGAGTTTGTATTGGGGTCAAGCGGAATTGCAGAAGAAAGTAAGACGCTTAGATTTTAGGTCAGGTGAGAGTTGAAGAGGTTTTAAGTTCTTAAGAACACAGGCTAAGGGAGAAGAAGGAGGAATGTAAGGTGGAAGCTTGCCTATAGTGAAGGAGGCAAGACCAGAGAAAAGAGTAGAGACACGGAGAAGGGGTGGGGGGTTCTTGCCCTCCAGAAAAGCAGAGAAGGGGTCGGGGCACAGAGATACAAGGTCAGGGCATGGAAATAAGGGATCAGGGTGCAGAGATATAAGAGGTCGGGGCGTGGAAATAAGGGATCGGGGCACAGAGATACGAGGTTGGGGTACTTGCCCCTCCTCTAGAAAAGCGGGAGTTGCCACTCAGGGTGAAGGAGAAGGGGTTGGGGGTTTCTTGCCCCCCAGAAAGGCAGAGAAGGGGTAGAGACATGGAGAGAAGGGATTGGGGTACTTGCCCCTTCCCCCAGAAAAGTGGGACTTGCTGCTAAGGGTGAAGGACCAAGGCAGGTGTCCCTGCGTGGTCTGACACCTCTGAAACCTGGGTGAATAATCAGAGAGGCATCCCTGCAAAGGTTAAACACCAAGGGAAGGCTGCCTTCCCTAGTCCATGACCGGTGCCGGAGTTTTGGGTCCACGGATAAAACGTGTCTCCTTTTTCTCTACCCGAAAAATGAAAGGAATTGAAATTAAGAGAAGGGAGAGATTGAAGAGTGGAAAGGAGAAAGTGGTTGAGGGACAGTGAGAGAGGTTGGAGAAGAGAGTAAGAAGAGGCCGCTTACCCGATTTAAAATTGGTGAGATGTTCCTTGGGCTGGTCGGTCTGAGGACCTGAGCTTGTAGGTGGATCTTTCTCATGGAGCAAAGAACAGGAGGACAGGGGATTGATCTCCCAAGGGAGGTCCGCCGATCTGAGTCACGGCACCAAATTTCATGCGCGTCTGTGTGAAGAGACCACCGAACAGGCTTTGTGTGAGCAACATGGCTGTTTATTTCACCTGGGTGCAGGCAGACTGAGTCCGAAAAGAGAATCAGCGAAGGGAGATAGGGGTGGGGCCATTTTATAGGATTTGGGTAGGTAAAGGAAAAAGGGGTGTTGTTCTCTGGTGGGCAGGAGTGGGGGTCACAAGGTACTCAGTGGGGGAGCTTTTGAGCCAGGATGAGCCAGGAAAAGGAATTTCACAAGACAGTGTCATCAGTTAAGGCAGGAACAGGCCATTTTCACTTCTTTTGTGGTGGAATGTCATCAGTGGAATGTCATCGATCTGGATGTGTATGTCTAGGTCACAGGGGATATGATGGCTTACCTTGGGCTCAGAGGCCTGACACTCTGTGAAAAGGGATAATAATTGGGCCATTCTTGTCATACTCAACTAAAACAGAGTGGAGAATCCAGGTGGCAAAAGCCCTCAGGGCACATGATGCTGCTCCAAGAATTTAATTCTCTGCAAGACTGGCTGCTGAAACTGCTTGCTGTAACTTGAAACCAGTTTTATTTACTGGTTTCTGAAATAAACTGTTGCAACTCTAAGCCCCCTTTTACCCACCACCACCACTTGCCAGCTCTCGAAAACTTTACTAGTGCCATTGAACTTTCTGGAGAAACAATATCTAACATTTCTTCTTTTCCTGGAATTTCCAACCTTCTCTTTGTTCTTCCGACATACTGAAGACCACCTCATGAGATCTGGTTGTTTAAAAGTGTGTAGCATCTCTCCTCTCTCTCTCTTCCTCCTAGCTCCAGCCATGTGAGACATCTCACCCCCTCTTTGCCTTTTGCTATGATTGTAAGTTTCCTGAGAGCTCCCCAGAAGCTGAGCAGATGATGCCATGTTTCCTGTACAACCTGCAGAACTGTGAGCCAATTAAACCTCTTTTTTTTTTAGAATAAGTTTTGCTCTGTCACCCGGGCTGGAGTGCAGTGGCACAATCTCAGCTCACTGCAACCTCCGCCTCCTGGGTTCAAGTGATTCTCCTGCCTCAGCCTCCCAAGTAGTTGGGATTACAGGCACCCGCCATGACACCTGGCTAATTTTTGTATGTTTAGTAGAGACGGGTTTCACCATGTTGGCCAGGTGGGTCTTGAACTCCTGACCTCAGGCAATCCGCCCACCTTGGCCTCCCAAAGTGCTGGGATTACAGGTGTGAGCCACCACCCCTGGCCTAAACCTCTTTTCTTTATAAATTATTCAGTCTCAGGTATTTCTTTATAGCAGTGTGAGAATGGCTTAACACATCTTGTAAACCAGAAATCAAATTCTAAGCCCCAAAACCAACTGAATAGACCCCTTCCCTCAGCCAAGGGGATTCCAAAGTAAACCTGAAAATCTAGTTCAGGCCATGATGGGATGTAGGGGTTGGACATGCTTCATTATACTCTCCTCCCTTTGGAATTCAGGCACAGCTGACCAGCATTAGCATTAAAACAGAAATCTTAAGACTGACAAAACAGACTTTGTAGCAATAAGATACCAAATTTCAACCTGACTCTAGCATAGCATCCCATGACAGACTGCAAGCCCTGGAAGAAGTTATTTTACCCCAATATATATTTCTTTGACATATTTTAAAATGGCCCTGCAAAGCTGTCTCTTGTGGGAGAAATTTGCATTCTGTAGAGAACCCCCTTCCCTTTCCAGATCTTTTTTTGATCCTGAAGAGATTAGCTAAGAATCTAACACATTTGAAAGGTTTAAATACAAACCATTTGCCACCTATTCCCTCTAAGCCACCTGCGAGACGTCATCTACTGAATAAGAACCTTGTTGTCCACAACCCCTTATCTTATCCAGACATTCCTTCTATTGATTCCAAGTCTTTAGATAATAACTCAATGCTTTCAACTAATTGTCAATCAGAAAGTCTTTGAATGCACCTATGACCTGAAAACCCCTGCTTCGAGTTGTCCCTACTTAACAGACTAAATCAATGTATACCCTACATGTATTGGCTGAGGTTTGCCTGTAACTTCTGTCCCCCTTAAAATGTATAAAATCAAGTTTTTTTTTTTTTTTTTTTTTTTTTTTGAGACGGAGTCTCGCTCTGTTGCCCAGGCCGGACTGCGGACTGCAGTGGCGCAATCTCGGCTCACTGCAAGCTCCGCTTCCCGGGTTCACGCCATTCTCCTGCCTCAGCCTCCCGAGTAGCTGGGACTACAGGCGCCCGCCACCGCACCCGGCTAATTTTTTGTATTTTTAGTAGAGACGGGGTTTCACCTTGTTAGCCAGGATGGTCTCGATCTCCTGACCTCATGATCCATCCGCCTCGGCCTCCCAAAGTGCTGGGATTACAGGCGTGAGCCACCGCGCCCGGCCTAAAATCAAGTTTTAACCCAACCACCTTGGGTGCATGTTCTCAGGCCCTCTTGAGACTGTGATTCTGGTCATGGCCACTCGTATTTGGCTCAGAATAAATCTCTTCATGTATTTTACAGAGTTTGTTTCTTTTCATGATCAATCTACATTTTTATTTTGACCTTGACAACTCCATGGTGGTATCTCTTTCTCTCATGTATGTTTGTTTGCAGTAATCTCTTGAGGTAAAACTTACGTTTTACAGAAGACCCAGATTTTAAATATAGTTTTATGAGCTGTAAATATCTTGATTACCTCTCTAATCAAGATTTAGAACATTTCTATCATCCCAGGAAGTTTCCACAAGGACTTTCTAGTCAATTGCTCCCCCTTCTCGCAAAGCAAAAATTAAAAATCATACCATACAATCTGTTATCATAGATTAGTTTTGGCCTGAACTTGTACTTCATGTAAATGCAGCTATATAGAGTAAATTCTTTTTCTGACTTTTTTAGTTTAGCATAATATTTTGAAATTGTTGAGAATGTTCATGTTATTTGTACCAGTAGATCATTCTTTGTATGGTTGAATACTGTTCTGTTGTATGGATATTCCACGTAATATTTGGGTTGTTTTTGAGTTTTTTGCTCCCAGGAATAAATCCATTATAAACATTTATGTACAATTATTTTTTGTAGACATATGTTTTTGTTTTTCTTAGGTCTTAGGATTGGATTGCAAAGTCAAAGAGTAGCTGTTCTAATATTAAATGTACCATGACATTCAGGTTTTATAAATTAGTGTAAAGAGTTTAGTTAAGGTTAAGTTCACCAATGAGAGGTGGCTGCCTTATAAGCATGATGATAAACAGGATTTTCAATACTGATGGCAATCCTGAATTGTGATGAATTAATCATGGAAAGCCTCCCTGAGGAGCCATTTCCAGACATGAGCTGGCCTTCCCCCCATGTTTTTCTTCTGCTGTGCTGTGGATCAGGAGTCTGTTTATCTGAAGCTCTGTATTATGCAACTGCTCTCTCTGCCTGTCCTGTGCCACACTCGCATCTGCAGTCGGTCATTCACTATGTCCCTGTTGGGAGAAAAAAATTTTTTTTTCCAACTTGGATCCAGTGATTGGGGGCCTGCAAATTAACTGGCAATAGCAAAGAATGACTTGTGAATGGGTAGCCCTCGAACCAGAATAGGATTAGAGATGCCCCCAGCACAGCCTCATAGTCAAAGGACATTTATGAACAGAGAAAGGAAAGTGACATACAGAAAAAAATGGAAGTCAGATACAGAAACATTAGATTGGTTACAGCTCAGCCTTTGCCTTATTTGAATACAGTTTGAACAGTTGGCCACATTTGATTGGCCAAAACTCAATCAAAAGAGTAGGTTATAGTCTGTTTACACAGTCCGTTAGGTTACAGTTCACTATGGATGGAGAAACTTTTAGGCTGTACTTAAAATATGTAAGGAAGGATGCTTCGTTCTCATGGCTAACGTTGGGGCACAGAGGCCAATATTTCAAAGTAAGGTGGTTTGACATTCCGAGTACTTCTTTTTGTAGAAATGAAGTCCCACTGTTGCTCATGCTGGTCTTGAACTCCTGGCTTCAAGCCATCCTTCCTGCCTCAGCCTCCCAAAGTGCTAGGATTACAGGAGTGGGCCACAGCACCCACCTCTGAGCAATTTTGAATAAAAGGAAATTGGAAGACCTTCGAAGCTGCCTCAAACCAACAACTTTCTTTCTCTTGGTGTCCCTCCATTTCCCCAAGTTCAGGAAGGGGAACTGTCTAACCGTTCCCTTATCTGACTGATGAAAACTTCTTCCAAAAGAAATGAAATTCTCTTAAGTTCCCCTGCTTAGGAATCTCATTAAATAATCTCATAGAATAAGACAGATAAAAGTCATCACCACACCCAGAGAGACTTTTAATTTATTCTTCCTAGAGCAGTTCCAAGAGATTACTTGAGGCTTTATCTTCATAATAAGACAACTTTTGTTCACAGTGCAGTTCTACCCCTTACCTTCCCATAACTTATTGGTCCCATTCGGCTTTTAAAGAGAATCATTTACAAACTATTTTCTGCTCTTTGGGCCTGTTCATTTTCCCTAAAAATCATTTACAACCCCTCAAAGTGCCTACATTTTCCCTACCTCCCTTTCCCCTATGAAGATGGTATATAAGCTTCAAGCATCTGACCTTTCTTTGATTTTCATATCTCGTATGGATCTCTTGCTTATGCACATTCATAAATTTGTGTGCCTTTTCTCCTGCTAATTTGAGAATTGTCAGTTTGTTTGAATCTTCAAGGTTTGAACTTCACTACACTCCCATTGTACCTATGCTCACCTTCCTTCTAGTAACTGTCACATATCGTTTGGTCAGTTTTTATAGTTTGCCTCTTTGTGATATAAATTTCTTGAGGACAGGAATTTTGTCTTGTCTGCAAAGTATTCTCATGATCTTTTGCCTTGCAAAAAGTAGATGCCCGAAAAGCAGTTGTTGAATGAATGAATGAATGAATGAATGAAGTTCTTGAGCACGTTGGAGAAAAAAGTTCCAGAAATAGATGTCATGATAAATGAAAACAGCATGTGCAGTAAGTGGAGAGCTGTTGCTTGAATGGAAACCCAGGAGGCCTATCTATGACAGTGCAGTATCATATACTCCCTTATCATATAAACTACCCTGTCATTCCTGCCTTCAGTGTCTCAGGAGCCTGGGAGGCAAGTATAAGCCACACTTCAACCAATCTCTGATACTCATCTCCAGTTGACCTATTTCAAAGGAGGGACAATGGGAACCACCTTCTCACCCTTAGAAAGGTTAAGGGTCATAGATTTGGCTAGTAAAAGATGGAGCTCCAACTCTTTCCCTAGAAATAATAATACATATTTCACATTTTTCTGATTTTTAATAAGCTCCTCTTTTTAAACCTCATATTATTTTCCTTTCTACACATACAGAAATGTGCAATAAATTAAGTCATTAACAGTATATGAAACAGAGCTAGAAAGAATCCTATAAATCATATTATCTGCCCCCTTATACTAAAAGTGATTATTCTTCTACTATAAGAAAAACATCATCTACATCAACTCATTTACTCTGAACAATCACTCTCCTTGTAATTGGTGTGACTTCTCCAAAGTTATAAGTAGGTACCCTTTGGTCTCACAAAAGCCTTAGGAGCAAGTAAATGCACTTCTCAGGGCTATACATTTCTGGCAATGTGGCACTTTCCTCCCTTGGATTGGGATTTAAAAGAAGGAAATGTCTCTCCCTATGCTCCCCAACCAACGAAAGGCAGGAGAAAAAAAAAGCCATGTTTGACAGATTTTTATGGGCTCACCCTGGCCTTGCATCCACTGAATGAGCTATTTGGGTCAGCCATCTAACTTGAGGAATACAGACCAAATGTTACCCTGTCATTCCTGCCTTCATTGTCTCAGGAGCCTGGGAGGCAAGTGTAAGCCACCACTTTAACCAGCCTCTGAAACTCATTTCCAGTTGACCTGTTTCAGGGGAGGAACAATGGGAACCACCTTTTCACCCTTAACCACATCACCTCCTGGAGTCAAATACAGCCAAGCACCTCTCCCAGAATAGAGATGTGGCCATAATGGCCAGTTTTTATTCTTACTGTTGTTTTGTTTTGTTCTTGATTTTGCTTATTGTCTCATGTTCCTTTCCCCACTGTTACTACAACTCCAACCCAGTCATAGAGTGTGGTGGCCAGAGCAAAATGTTTTAATCCAGCATAAATCAAACAAAGTGATCATGGGTGGATATGAGTAATCACAGAAGGAAGAAACAAATACCTAAAATTAAGCCTTGAAGGGTAAATGTATATTATTGAAAAAGACAACTCGGGAAGGCAACATTATGCTCAAAACCCAGTAGCAAATTTCATTACCACTCGTGACTAGATTACAATGATTGTAAATAAATGTTACTTCTTAATCAGCAAAAACATGCATTTTCTTTGTGTGTTTTATTTCTGCCCTTCAAGTTCCTCTGTTTTTTTGCATTTAATATACAATATCTATTAATACCAAATAGATTGTTATAACTGTGTAACATTTGCATATATTCACTGGTTTTTATGGGCACCTGGGCTTTCTCAACACAGTGGTGAGGAGAATTTATAGCAGAATCTGAAAATGAAAACAGGCATATTTGTTATACTTTCAAAAGTGTAGTATACATGGTTGTACTTATCTGCAGTGGAAAAAAGATTAAAACACAAGAAGTTTTTTCTGATAAAGTCTACCTTTGTATTATGGAAACAACAGAAAAATAATTTTTTAAATTGGTTGAATAAAATTGAATGTACTGTTTTTATTTGAAAATCTAGGTGTGATTATTGGTGATTTTCAGGAAAAAACAAAAGCTTTCTATACTTTTTATATAAGAAAATTACTATTCTATATTCTCTAAAATATAAACATCGTAACTGATAAGAGTTTTGAAAAAAAGAATTAAACAATGGACCTAAGTCATAGACAATATTATTATCTGAAGGCAGCCTAATTATTTATTATAGACTGCAATCATATTAACTTTAATTCAAGTCTCCCTATATCATTTTTAATGTAAGTTTAATGCAAAGAACAGCAGTTATTACAGTATAAGTTATTAAAGTTAATAAAACCAATAAAAGCTGGATTTGTATTTCAGACTTAAAAAACCCAAATTTATATGGAGAAAGTCATATAAAGCGATGACACAGCTATACCCCTGTTATCAGAAAACAACACAATTGAATTGTACTGGACCAGCTCAAGTTGTCATATCATGTTGCTATTGTTTCTTTTGAAATAAATAGCTTTATTTTTCATGAGCCAATGTGACACTCCAGTGCAAAAATTATATTCCATGCCATGGCAGCAGAGAAGAGAATAGATGTCACCACTCAACTAAACCTGAAAAATCCTTTGGAATTCATAATTATTGAACCCACATACTCTGCACCTTGTTCACGGGCCACTCTGCATCCTCTGCAGCCAAATTTATAAATATCTTCACTGATAAACCAATAGAAATGCCCATCCAGAAAAATAAAGGTCTTTCTTAAGAAGCACGGGAATACAGATCGATTTTGCCAGGAGCAACACAACTGCACTCATCATAAACATTTACTTATAACCAATTAATCTGTACTTTTGCCACAGTTAAAATGCAGCTTTAAAAAAATAGCTCCTCTCCTTTATATATAAAAGTACAGTACAGAAATCTTACAATGCACCATTCATAATAATAATTTCATTTACCTGTTTTTCTGTTAATACCTCCTCTTGATTTTTCTCATTTTCTCCCCAGCATCTTATGGCTTTTCTTTTGTAAATTGCATTATAGAACCTTACAGTGAGGGCATGATAATAAAGAAAAACAAAACTAATGGGAAAAAATTATAATTAAGCAATCCATGCCACATTTCTGCATGAAGCATTGGAGGTAATTTACAATATTGGTCATACTTGTAGGAAAAGCTTTTGTTGTTCTAAGTTAAATTTTTATGCTTATGAACTATTGAACATAGACTGCACTCACAATTATTTCCTTATAATTTAACTATACCACGTGTCCTGAAGTGAAGATAAAAATAAAAAATAAAAATCAAGGTAAATTGATCATGGGAATACTTTTTTCTCACTGAAAAATGGAAAAATACATTTACTTTTTTGTGGCCTCTAAGTAAATTGTTATTTTCCTTCTTATTTTGTATGCAGTTTTGTGTATACATATTTGTATATATAGTACACACATTTATTGTGTATATATTATATATATACACTTGTGTGTATATATGTATGTGTGTGGGGGTGTATGTGTATATGTGTGTGTGCATATATATATTATATATATGTCCATTTTCATACTGCTATGAAGAAATACCTGAGACTGAGTAATTTATTAAAAAAATGAGGTTTAATGGACTCACAGTTCCGCATAACTAGGGAGGCCTCACAATCATGGTGGAAGGCAAAGGAGGAGGAAAGTCATGTCTTTCATGGCAGCAGGCTAGACAGCGGGTGTAGGAGAATTGTCCTTTATAAAACCATCAGATTTCATGAGACTTATTCACTATTACAAGAACACTGTGGGAAAAACTTGCCTCCATGATTCAATTACCTTCCAACCCCTCCCTCCCATGACACATGGGGATTATGGGAGCTACAATTCAAGATGAGATTTGGGTGGGGACACAGCCAAACCATATCATTTCACCCCAGCCCCTCCCAAATCTTATGTTCTCATATTTCAAAACCAATCATGCCTTCCCAACAGTCCCCAGTTCTTAACTCATTTCAGCATTAACTCAGAAGTCCACAGTCCAAGGTCTCATCTGAGATAAGGCAAGTCCCTTCTGCCTATGAGCCTATAAAATCCAAAGCAAGTTAGTTACTTCCTAGATACAATGGAGACACAGGCATTGGGTAAATACATCCATCTCAAATGGGAGAAATTGGCCAAAACGAAGGGGCTACAGGCCCCATGCAAGTCCAAAATTCAGTGGGGCAGTCAAATCTTAAAGTTCCCAAATGATCTTTTTTGACTCCATGTCTCACATCCAGGTCACACTGATGCAAAGGCCTTGGACATGGCCTTGGACAGCTCCACCCCTGTGGCTTTGCAGGATGCAGTTCCCCTTTCAGCTGCTTCCACGGGTGGCCTTGAGTGTCTGCAGCTTTTTCAGGTGCATGCTACAAGCTGTTGGTGGATCTACCATTCTGGAGTCTGGAGTCTGGAAGATGGTGATCCTCTTCTCACAGCTTCACTAGGCAGTGCCTCAGTGGGGAATCTGTGTTGGGGCTCCCACTCCACATTTCCCTACTGCACTGCCCTAGCCAAAGTTCTCCAATGAGGGCTCCTGCAGCACATCTCTCCCTGGACAACCAGGTGTTTCCAAACATCCTCTGAAATCTAGGTGGAGGTTCCCAAACCTCAATTCTTGATTTCTGTGCACCTGCAGGACCAACACCATGTGGAAGCTGCCAAGGCTTGGTTGGGTCTTGCACCCTCTGAAGCCAAGGCATGAGCTCTGTGTTGGCCCCTTTTAGCCACAGCCATGGCTGGAGTGGCTGGGATGCAGGGCACCAACTCCTAAGGCTGCACACAGCAGGGGGCCCTGGACTCAGCCTAGGAAACCATTTTTCCCTCTGAGGACTCTGAGCCAGTGATGGGAGGGGCTGATGAGAAGTTATCTGACATGTCCTGGAGACATTTTCCCCATTGTCTTGGTGATTAACATTTGGCTCCTTGTTACTTATGCAAATTCCTGAAGCTGGCTTGAATTTCTCCCCAGAAAATGGGGTTTTCTTTTCTATGGCATTGTCAGGCTGCAAATTTTCCAAACTTTTATGCTCTGCTGCCTCTTGAATGCTTTGTTGCTTAGAAGTTTCTTCCTCCAGATACCCTAAATCATCTCTCTCAAGTTCAAAGTTCCACAGATCTCTAGGGCAAAGGCAATATGGGAGCTGCCAGTCTCTTTGCATACCAAGAGTGACCTTTAATCCAGTTCCCAGCAAGTTTCTCATCTTCATCTGAAACCATCTCAGCCTGGACCTTATTGTTCATATCACTATCAGCATTTTGGTCAAAGCCATTCAACAAGTCTCTAAGAAGTTCCAAACTTTCCCACATTTTCCTGTCTTCTTCTGAGCCCTCCAATCTGTTCCAACCTCTGCCTGTTACCCAGTTCCAAAGTTGCTTCCACATTTTCGGGTAACTGAATAACGATATCCCACTCTACCAGTACCAATTTACCAAATTAGTCCATTTTCATACTGCTATGAAGAAATACCGGAGACTGGGTAACTTATAGAGAAAAAGAGGTTTAATGGACTCACAGTTCCATATGGCTGGGGAGGCCTCATAATCATGGTGGAAGGCAAAGGAGGAGGAAAGGCATGTCTTACATGGCAGCAGGCAAGAGAGCATGTGTACGGGAACTGCCCTTTATAAAACCATCGGATCTTATGATACTTTTTCACTATCATGAGAACAGCACAGGAAAAACCCACCTCCGTGATTCAGTTACCTCCCACCAGGTCCCTCCCACCATATATGGGGATTATGGGAGCTACAATTCAAGATGGGATTTGGGTGTGGACACAGCCAAACCATATCTATATTTATCTCTCTGTCTATCTATCTATACATATGTGTGTAGTATCTCGGGCAGGGAAGACTATAAGACAAAATGTATTAAGTACTGGGTTCATATTCATAGTATACTTTCTCTGCATAAATTTCTAAGGAACTTTTAAAAGGTTAATGATGAAAGTATGATCACTTTTTATTTCCGTATTTTAGAGATTAGAGCTAGGCTGGCACAGTGTCCACTTCTTCTTGATAGTAGCATCCCAATTCTTTGCTATCTCCCATACCTCATTTAACTTATTATTTGTGGTACTTGGAAGCCAACATGTGGGCCTATAGATCATGTCAGGTAAATCAAAATCAAACTCTTCATGAAATTATAATCTCAAGCAGACTGTCACCAGAATAGAAAATAGTTAGAACTGACTTCTCCTAATCACAAGACCCTAGAAAAATTGCTCACTAGTTCCTGTGTACCAGATTCACATATTACCATGGGATCTGACTTTGTAAGGCTTGATAGTTATGCCTTTCCTCCAGTTCCATGAGCTGCCTTATAAACTTCCAATAAATTTCTAATGTTTTCTTTTGGCTTAAACTAGCCAGAATACCTTTCTGTTTCATGCTCCCAAAGAACCCTAACAGAAATTGCAATATTTTCTACTCTGTGTACAAGTCACTGGGCTGCTCTAGAAAATTATTCTTTTCCAATATGTAGAAAAGGCTTTCAGAAGTGTAGATATGATCTAATAAATAAAGCCTCAGTCAAAAGTTATGAATTCCCATTCTGATTTTGTGTCATTAATTCTGGACCTTTTTCAAATCATTTTATATCCCTGAGCATCAGTGTTGTTATGGGTAAAATAGAGACATGTGTTCTATTTAGTGATGTTGAGGATTAATTGAAAAATTAATTACACTATTTGAAGATCTTTAGAAATTGTGAAATTCATCCAACTGTTAGCTGCTATTAGTAACTCCTTCACTCCAGCTCTGCCACTTATGGGCTATGGAACCACTTACATTTCTATGCCTCAGCACCTTCATCTATCAAATGAAAACAACAACCTCAGAATTGTTATGTTATTAAATAATTTAATAAGTGTAAAATGCTTGGTACAAAGTAAGTGCTATAAAACTGTTACCTGTTATTAACTGGAATATTATTGTTCCAGTGTAAATTCACAAAAACCTACATATGTGTGTTTCAACATAGTATCTGCCTTTTTACCCCCTCCTTCTCTTTTTTCTCTCAATTATAGATTATTTTTTAATAAGCCACAGTAGGGGCATTCAGATTGGAAAGGAAGAAATAAAACTATTTTTATTTGCAGATGACATGGTATTGTGTATAGAAAATCTTAAGAAACCTACTAAAAATTATTAGAACTAATAAATGAGTTCCATAGGTTGCCAGATATAAGATCAATATACAAAAATCAGTTGTATTTCTAAAAACTTGTAATGAACTATATGAAAATGGAATTTAAAAAAACAATTCCATTTAAGATAGTACCAAAAAGCATGAAATACTTGCAAATACATTTAACAAAAAATGTGCAAACCACATACTCCAAAAACTATAGAAGATTGTTGGAACAAACTAAAGAAGATCTAAGCAAATGGAAACAGACCCCATATATATAAATTGGAAGGAAGGTTTAATACTACTAAGATAGTAATACTCCCAATACAAATCTACAGATTCAGCACAATTCCTATCAAAATCTCAGTGGATTTCCTTGTACAACTTAGCAAGCTGATTCTAAAATGTCCATGGAACTGCAAGAGACCCAAATTAGCGAAAACAATCTTGAAAAAGAAGAACCAAGTTAGAGGACATAAAACTCATTACAAAGCCACAGTTATCTAGAGAGTGTGGTACTGGCACAATGATAAACATATAGATCAATGGAATGGAATTGAGAGTCCAGAAATAAATCTATGTGCCAACGGTCAACTGATTTTTAGCAAGGGTCCCAGGACCATTTAATAGGGAAAAATTGCCTTTTTGACAAATGTTGCTGGGGCAAATGACCACATGCAAAAGAATAAGGGTGGAACCTTACCTCACACTGTATACAAACATCAATACAAATGGGTCAAAGACCTAAATGTAAGAGCTAAAACTACAAAACTATTAAAAGAAAACATAGATGTAAATCTTAATGACTTCAGATTTGGCAGTGGATTCTTCGATATAACAAAAATTTTGATGAAGTCCAATCTATTTTTGCTATTATTGTGCAAGCAAATAATTTTGGACTTCATCAAAATTAAAAACTTTAGTTCTTCAAAGGACACTACAAAAAGGTGAAAAGACCACCCATAGAATGGAGGAACATATTTACAAATCATATATCTGATAAGAAGCTTGTAACTAGAATATACAAAGAACTCTTACAACTCAGTAATAAAAAGATAAACAACCAAATTAAAAATGGACAAGCAATCTGAATTTTGATTTCTCTGAAGGAGTTATACAAATAGCCAATAAGCGCATAAAAAGATGTCATTATTAGTCACTGGGGAAGTGCAAATTGAAACCACAATGAGATACCACATCACCCTTAGTAGGATGACTAGAATCAAAAAGTCAGATAATAACAAGTGTTGGCTAAGATATAGAAAAATTGCTGGTGGGATGTTAAATTGTAGATCCACTTTGGAAAACAGTCTAGCAGTTTCTCAGTTAAACATTGAGTTACCATAAAATACAGGAATTCCACTCCTAGTTAAATACCCAAGATAAATAAAACATATATCCATACTAAAGCTTGTATACAAGTGTTTATAGCAGCATTATTTATAATGGTCAAAAGGTTCCCACCAATTCATGAATAAACAAATGTAGTATGTCTATACAATGAAATATTATTTGGCCATAAAAAGTAATGATGCATTGACACATGCTACAACACAGATGGACCTTGAAAACATTAATGGTTTCTTGGGGATGAGGAAGCTAAGAGGGATTTGGGGTCATATCTAGAGGGATGCAGTTTGAGGTGATAAGAATGTTCTAAAGTTAGCTGTGGTATCTGTGTGTATACTAAAAACAATTAACCTTGTACATTAAGTGGGTGAATTGTATGGTGAATTAAATTTTTAAAAGCTGGGTTTTTTAAATCCATTATAGAGAAAGGAAATTATGCATCTTCAGGTAGAGATCTTCATTAAAAATAAATAAAATACTTTTGGTGAAAACCCACATAGTGGTGTTAGGATATATTCAATTTTATTTATATATTTATAAAGGATTTTATGCCCAAAATGTGTATATAAGTCTATAGCTTATGTATAGGGCTCTGTAGCAGAGCCTATGCTCCATAACTCTATCCTCTGTTTTGAGTATAGGACTTAATTCCGGACAGATACAGAACCCTACTTTTCTAATATTGCATAAATATTTCTCATAGTGAATGGAAGTAACCTGGGAGACGTAATGTAATGTGCTCTTTGCTTTGGGTTATTGACCTTTCTTATTTTTTATTCATCCTCTAAAAAGAAACAAAAGCAGGAAGAATTAACTCCTGGCTTCTCTGTTAATCTTGTCTGCTTCTCCTTCATTACCACCTCCTTCAGAATTGAATACTATCATGTCTTCTCAGATCTTTCCATCTAACTGCATCACAGCACTTATTCCATCCTGAATCATTTCCTTATTTTCAAGCACTTGTTATCTCCACAAGATGATAAGTACCTTGAGGTCAGAGATTATGTGTTATTTATCCATATTTTACCACAATTACAGACCTTCACTAAATTTCTGCAGAAGGAATGAAAATTTTACATTTGTGCATTCTAGAAGATGAGCTTTTCTAATAACTATAACATGAAATCATAAAAATTTAGAGTTGAAAGAAACCTTAGAAAATATTTGGTCTAATCTATCAATAAATGTAAGAAAACTTTCCATAGCATTTCTTAAAAACACTTTATTCAAGCCACTATTTGAATATTTCTAATGCCAAGGAATCTGCCTTACAAAGTGATTAATTGCATTTTCAACTAGCTTTTATTGTTGAAACGTTCATCATCAATGTTAAATCTAAACTTGTAACTTCCTCCCTTTGGTTGGTCTAAGATCTGTCACGTATGGCTATACATTATCTAATTTATCTTCCATGACAACATATGAATTATTTAAAGACACTATCATAACACTCCTTGTTTTCTCTGTGCCAAGCTTTCCATTTTATTCAAATGTTTCTTATAGACATGATTTCTGGACCTTTTATCATGTGGATTCAGCTCCTGTGGACATCACCAGATTTTTAATATCCACTTTAATTTGTACTTCCTGGAAATGGAACCCACAACATGTGACTGGTGTCAATTACACAAATGCCTTTTCCTTCCTTAGTCTATACCCTGGGCTTTGTTAATGGGACTAAAGCTACATGAGTTATTTTGAAAGCCATATCACACCATAGTCTTCTACTAAGCTTGCCATAAACTAAACTCTTCTGACATTTTTTTCCATGCAAGGATCCTGTGAAATCAGAGCTCTTTAGTTCTTAAACTTGCAATTAATCTTTTCAACCTTCATACAAGATTCTATATTAATTTGTGAAATAAACAAAATGCCCTACACAAACCAGGTGTTCAGCAGATGTCTGTACCTCCTTTTCACAGCACTTATTACAGAAGTAATATTGTGTTTATTATTTGGTTATTTAAGAGGAGGGCCCATGTGTATCTTTAGTCATCACTATATTCTCATCACTTAGCAAAGTGGCTAGCATAGAGTAATTGCTCAAGAATTCCCATAATTCTTTTACTGCATTGCCATGCTGCTGAAAACAACAGTGAATTCAGAGAACTGATTTGCTTGCATTAGCAGTCAATTCAGCCAAAACAATTGAGTGACCACATGGTGACAATGTTTGAAATAATCTTCTTAATAATAAACGTATTATGGCCAGTGCCATAAAAACCCAAAGCCACATTTCCAAAATATGCCCCATCTTACCTAAGAATCTAAACTTTGTGTCAAACAACTAAAGTCCCATAACCTGAAAGATTATTATTTTTTACTAAGTATGACTCTTCAAATGCCTAGTCTCTACAACATTAGCTTCTAATTAATAGGTTCGTTATGCTGATGCCATTGTTGCCATATGTAAGGTTCCAAGGAAAAAGGGTAATGTTTTATTTTCTTACTTTTACTAACTCATGAAATTTTGATTTGAGTGTGTATAATTTGTAAGATATGTAATCTTTTCTGTTTCCTTGATTAGGTAAAGGTAAACGCAAAGACAACTCAAAAAACTCATTTTTTTTAGAGTACAAAGGTGACTGATAAATAAATCATAGGTACTTTGGAAGAGATGAGCTTCTCTGCAACCTAAAATTTCTAATTAAAATTGAGCTGTCCCTATTGTGTAGTATGTGGAGGCTAAAGTTTACCTTTTATATCATACACCAACTTGAACACATTATTTCATAAATTAAGCATGAAATTCCAACTGATTTTAAAATTTGGAAAGCTTTTTGTCATTTTTGATAGCCTCCTATTTGAGGACGAATAGGCAGACAAACCTCCTGTTCTTTAATAACATAACATTAAGTACTTCTTGGAAACAGGACACAATAGAGAGAAGGACTGTTTATGAGTCAGAGGAACATGTGCTACTGTCAACTTGAATAAGAGGCATCAGATATTTCTGGTGATGAAAACCTTTCAGTGAGGTGAAACAGGCCACGTTCCATTTCTTTTATTTTCAGAGATGAGATGGATTTGAAAACCATAACCTGGCTTCTTGATGCAAGGACTCGCCACATGAGATAATCTCCAGCACATTACTATTGGCAAGCAGATCTTTCACCCTTTTGTCTCCATGCATTACAGAAAACGTTAAATCAGTTTGGTGTCCATATAAACTTTTGATCCTAGGAATAGCCTAGGGTACCATCATTATCTTCCCGAGGACCATGTGTAGGCCTTCAGTAGGTAGTACTAATTTAATCTCTTTGCTAGAGGAAAAAGTAACTGATTTTCTAGATCAATATTTGATTGAATATGTTTGAAATGTTGGCAGATAAAGGCCCCTTTTCTGGTCCAAAGACTTTTTGAACCACAGAGGTATAGCGTTCTAGCTCCCCTGGGATTTGAGTGGAAGGAGGTCTCAAAGATCTGTAAGAAGCCTTCCTGCCTTTCCTTGTGTTCTTCCAGCAAGACTCTCTAAAGGTTGAGATGAGAAAAAGATAAGATCAAGAACTGGAATGTCTTTATTCCATTTTTTTAATCTTTCCTGGGGCTTCTCTTAACTAAAAATAATCGTTTATACCACTAGTTTACAAAAACCTCCTGTAATAGGATGTTAGAAAGAGAGCCCATCTGATCAGCTTTAAGGAGTTAACCCAGTGACTTTGGCAAATAATTTGAGACCTCAGATTCTATCATTCATACCACTAATTAAACAAGAATATCAATATATCAGCAACAGAGAGATGAATACAAATTAAAATGCTAAGGTGTTAGACAGATTAGAACTTTAGTTGTCTAGTTATATTGATAAGCAAAAGAGGTTTTCACAAATTATACTGATTTTGAAAATGGAGACTGGGAAAAAATTCCATCCAAATGATATTTGACCAAACAGAGAATTTAGTTCAGAAGCACATATTTCACTGTAATTATTATATTTGCTTTTTAAAGTTTTAGTTAAATTAGTAAACCCTTCCCCAAAACAAAACATTGAAAAACAGCTTACATCTGACTGAAAAGTATTACTCAGAATAAATAGCACTAACAATACTGTTTTCTGAGTCTACATATGAAATTCAAAGAAAGATTCTTGAGGAGAATGTTTTCCTTTAATTTTCTCCTTTGCTGCAGAAATGCACATGCATTCCCTAAGCATGAAGAGAAAAAAAAATACTCACAATTTCCTGTACTTTCTTTCTTATCATTGAACTTTTGTTTAGCTGAAGGATAAATTTGCTTTCCCCTAGCTACAGACTTTGAACACAGAAGTATGCTTTATAAAGGAGTAGCCACCACATGCAAAGCCAACTGCAACTCCTTGGAAATGTGGATTCTAAAGGACTTATTTTCCACAGCTTAAGCCAAATCACTTCTCTTATTCTGAGATGAGAATATTATGGTCATTTAATTTTTTGAGAATTTCTCACAGTTTTAATCTATTTTTGTAAAATCTTCTATTCAAAGTAATGATATTCCCAATACAAACTGAATAACTCTTCAGGGCATTAGATTATATTTCTTACTTAAAATGGTAAAAATCAGCCTGCAAAAAGGGACATAGTTTTTGTATGTTTTATTTTATAACACCTTGCTCATTGCTTGGTATGGAATAGGCATGCAACAAATACTTAAGCCAATTATGTAGATAAACTGAATTTTCAAGTTTTGTTTTTAAAGAATAATCATAATTTGAATTAAATATACCAACTTTCTGTCTACAATTACATTCTGAAATATACAATGCTAATGTCATAAGAGGTTGTAATAGAATATTTCTTCACAGTGCTTATACGTCAATTGAACATAACATATAAGCTACTGCTATAGGCAGAAGGATCTTAAATGCAAACTCAGATTGCCCCTGAATCTTTGATGTAGAATCCTTGCTTCAGGGTCTTCTTGCAACCATAATGTCCCTTGTCAACCAGACAGCTCTGATTGTTATTCCTTGAGAGAGTTTCCATTTTTTTCATGACCTAAAAAGAAAGAAAGAAAGAAAAAAAAAAAAACACTGACATGAGTTATTGGATGTGAAAATTTAAAGTGATGCCAGTAAGAAATAGAAAGTATTTAATATACCTTTCCTTAATATTATTGTTAATAAATGTATGACTCTATATTTTCCCAACATTTCTTGTTTTATAAGGTTCAGTTTACACATCTCTTATTATTATTACTGTAATAGAATTCCTTTCATATACTAAGATTTAAGGTTTTAGGTTCCCTGATAATTTTCCTAACTAAAATGATGGGCACTGGGCTAATACATCTCATTGGTACATGTGAAATCTAACTTGAAAATTCTGTCTAATTCTATAATGCACTAATACTGATTACCTATCAGATTCCCCCATTCATTCAGAAATAAGAGTTTGTTACCACACATTTTCACTTATAACTGGGAGATAAACAACGGGTACACATGGACATAATGATGGAAATAACAAACACTGGGGACTCCAAGATGGGGGATGGTGAGGGGAGGATGAGAGTTAAAAGTTACCCTCAATATTGACTATGTGGGTGATGGGTACACTAGAAGCCCAAATCTCACAATTACACTCTATATCCATTGAACAAACTTGCACATGTACCCTCTGAATCTAAAAGAAAAATAAACATGAAATTGTGTTTGTGGGTGGGGAGGTGTTATATATCTGCATAATCCTTCCCTACATAATCCTTACATACCCCTTCGTTATATAATCCATAATTTTAGGGAAAGTTGACCCTAATCCCAGTTCTAGGAGAGACCTGTAGATTTGCTTGAAAACTTTTTCTCCCATGAATTGAAGAAGCATGGAATCCCACTGAAGCTGGAAGCATCATCTCACCACAGTGGGAAGCAGTCATGGGGTAGAGCCCTTCCTGGAACCCACAAGAACTAACTAGAGAGGTAGAAAAGCACTCGAGGCAAGCTGAAGTCTCTGGATCAAGTGGCCCTGAAGTTTGCCCTACCCCTTTATTTTCCTTGCTTGAAGAATCAATCCTCTTTCTCAGTTGGACATTCCTGAGTTGAGTTTTCTGTTACTTGCAGCTTTACAGGTGCTAACTGATTCTCTAACTTTTCATTATGTAAATATATTTTCTTTCTTATTTTGTTATTGCCACAAAGGACATAAATCATTTATGGCAAATCCTATGTTTTGTGTTTTTGTGGCAACATAGCTGTGCCCCAAATTCCACTATTTGAATATTTAAACTCCAAATTCATTTTCTCAGTTGAGTTTTCGTTAGTTTTAATATCATAGTCAATATGGAATTACATTTTCAAAAACACCTATTTTAGACCTGACTGCCTCCCAAGTGACTCTGAGCCTGGGGATGTTAAGGTTTCATAAAAGATACAGCCCTGATAGAGAAATCCTCTAATAAGAGCAGAAGGTTTAATCCACACCATGCACACTCTGTGCACAATAAATCCTTTTACTCAAGCAAAGAGTATAAGCAAAGTAACATTATTTGAACATTATCCTTAAAAAATTGATATATATATATAATTCATTAAGGTACATTTAAAAATATACATACATGTCATTAAACAAAGTGGCATTACAAAGAGCCATCTTTAAATCATTCCATTAATCATATCATAAAAACAATATTTGTATTGATAGGAATCAAGGAAACACTTTTCCAAAGAAACTGAGTGGCTATTACATTTTTTATTTTTAAGTTCCTCAATTGACTAATAATTTAGTTTTTTATATTTTTGCTGATAACTTTGCAAGCAACTTTAAGAAGACAGATGAACGTTACAAATGAAATTAACATATGTCTGGCAGCACCGTAATGCACTTAGTATACTTACCATTTGTTTTGATTATTTGGTTAGCATGTTCTTATTTACCCTTACTGTAAGAAACAGGATATGGTTAATCACAGGACTTTTAGCAACAATAAGAAAACACAACCAAAACCTGCTACCTATTTTTTCTGTATCTGTTAACATTACCTCTAAGAACTCTCTTTTTGGTGATGAGGGCTCAATGCTCTTAAAATAGAACAAAGATGAATCACAATGAATAGAATAAATTTACTCCTAGCATTTGCGGTAAAGAAATAAATATAAGACCGACAGGAAAATTTTAGCAAACTGTTTATATATCTATAAACTATTCTGTATTTGTACATATAAAATATCAAGTATTCTGAATAATTTTAAATAGTTTGAAATCAGTCATTCTTTTTCTTGAGATTCATATTCTGGAATGATTACATTAGTTATCAAAGTAGCTAGATAAATAATCCTGAGCAAAAAAAAATGTCATGATTCAACATTCTGGGTGCAGGTTGCCTATGACTGAGGCATGGTGATTCTCCACTTACCAGAGCAAGAAATTCCCAGGAGCACAAGGAACAGAGATATGGTTCAACAAGAGCAGAAGAGAAAAAACAGGGGACCCATTCAGGCAGAGTTGGCTTAGAGATTGTGCCCAGTAAGTTAAACCCTGTGCACTGGATCCCTTCATTACTCCAGAAAGCACTGCAACCAACGAGTCTAATCATGTAGACAGAGGGCAGTTGCCAGAATGCAGAAAGCAACCTTCTCTAGAGTCGAGCAAAAGAAGCTGGTCATCGGAGAGATGTCCATCCTTTATCTTGGGGATGAAGCTTCTGGATACAATCAAGGCAAGATGACACCATCTCCATCAATAGATGAGGATTCAGGGCAGGCTTTCAAGCTAATAATAACACAGGAACTGAAGTTAGGTAATACAAAGAAAAACAGATGAGCCTAATGTCTCAGGAAATCGACCTAAAAAGTGTAACACTTTCTACCAGGAAATTAACACTGCTACTTATAGCATAATGCTGAATGATTTCTCCAAAAACTACAAATTGAAGAATATTTTAGATAATAACTTGATGAAACTGTATTAATAAATGCTATGATACAGGCTTAAGGAAGCAGAAGATGTGAATTGTAGTTATCTTCACACATTGTATTGTAGATGTGTAGTTCTTGTAGTTATCTGCATCCACATATTATAGACTGAACATGGTATACTGAATAGAGCACAAGTCATAGATTGTGCTTTCCAGACTTAGCTTTTGCCAGTAATTGCTTTGCTTTGTGAAAGCTAGAGCCAGTATGAGCCACAATTCCCCCATTTATAAAATGAAAATGAGGAATTCAGTCAGGATGATCTCTAAGATCTCTCAAAAATTCCATGCGTTATACATTGCTGGTAGATTTCCTGAAACAATAGGCATCATCTCTATTTTTAGTTTTCTCACCTATCTTGTAGTCATGTCAATATCCATTATTATATATAAGCTGATTTTCCTAAATCACTTGTCTTTTAAAGATTAGCAGCTCTCTCACTCTTTCCACAGCATCCTAAAGGAAGCTGATCATATCAAACAGTATTGAGTCACTACGGTGATTCTAAACAAGGAGAAACAAAGCATCCAGCAGCGATGTTGGATAAGAAATAGTCTCCAAAAGGATAAAAGTAAGGCTGGCAAAATCATTGTTTTGTACCTGCCTCCAATACATTTGCGAGGGGGTGTTAATGAAAAATGAGAGTGATGTTCCCATCACACATTTTTGGATTACTGTGCAGCAACATCAATTGGAAACCTAATGAAACAGAGACCACCTACAGAGGAGGGATAGTGTGTTCCTCTGTCTTCCTGCATCCAATTTACCAACTGACTCTATGGAACAAGCTGCTGGTTTGTTTGTGGCCTTCATACTGATTGGTCATACATTTAACACTGATAATTGGCAGTGCCAATTTCCACTATCTTTCACAAGTAAAAGAATGTTGTAACGCTTTACAATTGTGTGGTAATTGTAACAGGTAACAGGCACATTTTCTTCTACCCAGGTGATCTTAAAATTCCAGCACTGATATCATCTCATGATGGTGGACTGTTGGAATTAGACTAAGTCCCAGATGAATTGGTCATTCCCCCTATTTCATTGTTTCCATTGACTAACAGAATATGCTATGTATTCATCAAATAGAACTTCTGCCAATCAGGGAAATAGCAACAAGAAACTTGGTAGGTGAATTCCCACAAAACATATCAGGGACTACATAAAGAGCTGATGTTCCAAATGGAAGTGTTCTGTTCTTTGTTTTTGCACCTGTTCAAACTGGCATCTGGTATTAAGCTTGTGACTAGTCAAACATTACTACTTTCTGTCAAGCTGGCTGGGAGAGACAAAAGAAAGAGAATACAGTGTAAAATATTAGTTCATCCTTGTGTGTTATTTTGTGACCGCATTTTCCTTGTCAGCCTCCCTCCCTGTGCTTATCGTCAAATGCAGTTTATTCTTTTTTTTTCTCTCTCAAATTTGACTTCTAGAAGCCATCTGGCATTCATTCTAATTCCCACATTACAGCTCTCCATAAGTCAGTCTGCTGACTGCCTGTCAGGTTATAGGATTAAGTTTAAGATTTTCCTAATTCGTTGTGAGGTTCTTCATGGATTTGATCTATTACATCTTCCTGAGCTTGTCCAGTTGTAGATTTCTGCATGTGATTTATGTCTAACAGGTGTTAGTTTGCTACAGCTTTCTAAATATTGGCTTCCCAATGCAAGGGAGGCTTGGGAAGACACTAGAACCCAAATTGTATTCCTACACAACTGGAGAATGGCCTCCCTGCTGAAATTCAGCGTTGCAGAACTATTTATTAAGCTAAAAAGATTGATGTTTCAATATATGGAAAAGTAAAGAGACTCAAATTCCATCATCAACTCACCAGTTGCACCTATGTATCTGTGGCTCTCAGGATACAGTATATTATTTAACAGGTGGAACAACTAGGTGAGTTTAAAAATACAGATTTACCCCTTGCTATGAATTACTGTGAATTTGAGTGTTGTTTTCTAACGTCTTACTTTAAGCTGAATGCCTTTGTATAATTTTTGTTTTCCTGGTGTAAAGTTAAAATGCCTAATGGAAACCTACTTATTGTTAGGGAGAGAAAAAGAAAGATTTCTTTTAAAGACTGTATCTAGTAAAGCATTTTAAAACTCATTATTATACTTTTGAAAGATGTATATAGCATTGAAGAAAACAGCATAAGGAATAAAGTTTATTTAATAATGAATGTCCACATAAGTCTGACACCATTACAAATGTTTATTTCTTATGCTAAGTACATTTTAATAAAATTTCTAGATTGAGATATGGTGATTTCCATAGTTTTCATGTTGGGCCATTTGTCTTATCTTTGTGTGAATGACATAACACTTATGTTTATTAAACCCATAAAATCTTTAGCCTCATATTGGTCTTTTGTGTGATATATAAAGTGCTCTTTAGTTTTAAGCCACTCTATGCTTCATAGTTATTCCTCACTTTAGCTACAGCAAGAAAATTGTTACATTCATATTATAGATGAATAATCCAAGATACAGGGAGATTAAGGCACTTGCCTGTGGTCACACTGAGAGTTAATCAAAATTAAAATGCACAGCTCTGAGTTCCCAGGCCGCTGCTCAGCCCCTGGAGCAATGCCACTTTGCACTATAAATTGTTCCGATAATTTTAAAAATTTATAATGTGCTCATCAATTTGCATATCTAAGTATGAATTACAAACATTAAAATTGGCTACAACTCCTCTTCAACCAATTACTAACAAGAAGCACCTAAAAGGTCAAAATCATGAAACACCAAAGTAAACAGACATGTGTGCACCTTTTGCTAAATACCAGTCACATAATCCAACATGTATTCATTATATTTTTGACACTAGGAAATAGTTTAAACCTTGGTTTATTCATTGTAGTTGACCTTGAATTATTAAAAGAAACTAAAGTGATATTTTAAAAAATTACTTCCATATGATTCACACATGATATGATCTTTAGATAGCAAATATTAAGGGAGTTACATATAGATGTCAGTATTAAGATATAGTGTAATTTGTCAATTGGAAATTGGCACTATTAAAAGAAAAAAGTCGGTAATATGTATTTAAAAAGCTATTCCGTATTATAAAATGTATTAAGCACTGACTACGTTCTGTTTGGGGAATTTCTTGATTTCTAACAGCATTTCTTGTATGATAAGAAGTTTTCTACAATTTTCTACCTTCAGCTGTTGTTGTTCTCATTCTTTGTCCCATCATGGTTCCATTGTTTGGTTTCTCACAGTCAGCCTTAATGGGGCAATTAACCATACAGCATTGATAAAAATACTAACTCGAGAAAATTGTCAAAAGAACATAGAACATTCAGGATCATTTTTAAAAGGCTAGTGGTCTCACTGAAAACTGTAATTAAAGTATGTGTGATTTTGCTTGTGTGTTTGTTACATAATTCTCCTGGTCTACAGTTAAAGAAAATGTGGGCCCCTACAGTAGACTGCAATGGGAAAGCACTTTTATTCTCTAGTCAGTGATAATAAAGCATAACTCCTTGGGGAGGGACTTTTTCCCTATGGTATTCGCACTACCTTTCTTTTAAATGCTGCTAAGTGTGAAATTAGTGTTGTCCCTGAAAGTGCATAAGATTAATTGTTAGTAATTGAACACAGTTTGGAGGCTAATTATATAAAAATTGATATTAAAAGAATACTACCAGATTGATTGAGTTTTACAGTTTGCATTTAGTTTTCAAATTACATGAGTTGAAAGCCAGTGGTAAGAAACAATAAAAATCCATTCAGAGCTGCTAAAGCAAATTAAGGTTTACTAGTCTTTGAAAGACAAATGAGTCAAATGCTGTAATATAGGGAAATCAGTAAAAATGGTTCTAAAATTAACTACAGAATTAAAATATCAATACCCCTAAGATTGTATGGGTTGACCACATTTTGTGTAGGTGACCTGACTTTCCCTGTGCACCTGACTAGATAAGGTAGAGCAAACCAGGAAACTAGGACCATTCTTTGAAAATATAAGTTATGATGATTTGAAAGAAAGAGGGAAGGAAGGAAGGAAGAAAGGAAGGAAGGAGAGAAAGAAAGAAGGAAAGAAAGAAGGAAAACAAAGAAAGAAAGAAAGAAAGAAAAAAGAAAGAAAGAAAGGAAGAAAGAAAGAGGAAGAAAGAAAGGGAATCGGCTTGATATAGTGTGTGTTTGTCTCCTCCAAATGTGTTGAAATGTAATCCCCAGTATTGAAGGTGGGGCCTCATGAGAGGTATCTGAGTCATGGGGAAAGATCCCTCATGAATAACTCGGTGCCATCCTCACAGTAATGAGTGAGTTCTCCCTCTATGTGCTCACGTGAGATCTGGTTGTTTAAAAGACTCTGAGACTTCCCCATTACCTCACTTGCTCCTGCTCATGCCATGTGTAATGCCCACTCCCCCTTCACCTTCCACCATGATTGTAAGCTTCCTGAGGCATTGCCAGGAATAGATGCCAGCACCATGCTTTTTGTACAGCCTGTAAAACCATGAGCAAAAATAAACTTCTTTTCCTAATAAATTACCCAGCCTCGGATATTTGTTTAGAGCAATGCAAGTAGAATAACACACAGCCTTACTACAAATGGAAACACATAACTCTATACTAATTAAAACAGTAGAATTCTGGTATAAAAGTAGACAGAGGGGTCAATGGAATGGAAAGATATCCCTAAAATAGAATCTATCATGGGTAGTAAATTAATATATAAAAGGCATTTTCCAACTCAATCAGGAAAAAAGGGCTTACCAATAATTAGTGTTTAGATAATTGGTTGGCAATTTAGGAATAGGATCAATTTTGACTTTTACTTTATACCATATACCAACCACTGTTTTTAAATTTACTTTTGAAAAACTAAAGATACTTCAAATATAGGACCATGGTTGAAAGAAACAGATGGGCTGATTGAATTTGCATTCTCACACAAATTCACTTAGACCATTCCACTTTCCCTTTTTTTTTTTTTTTTTTTTTTTTTTTTTTTGAGACAGGGTCTCAATCTGTCACCCAGGCTGGAGTGGAGTGCGGTAGTGTGATTATGGCTCACTGCAGCCTTGACCTCCAGGGCTCAAGTGACCTCCCACTTCAGCCTCCCGAGTAGCTGGTACTAAAGGCATGTGCCACCGTACTCCTGTGATTTTTAATTTTTTTTAAAAAGGGAGGTCTTACGATGTTGCCCAGATTGGTTTCGAGCTCTTGGGCTGAAGCAATCCTCCTGCCTCAGACTCCCAGAGTGCTGGGATTACAGGCCACTGTGCCTAGCCAACTTTCCAATTTTTATAAATTAAACTTCCATCTAAGATTCTGTTTGAAAAAAAATTTTTCTACTAAAAAGAAAACAAAAAGGCTTGAAAATTTGCCATATACCAAAATACATTTAGACGGATTAAATATTTATTATTAAAAATAAAACACTGAAAATCCAAAGGAACACATAATTTACCAGAAGCAAATATCTGAAATAAGTAGAATTTTCCAAATATACATTCAATAGAAGAAAAATATGTGTAGGAAAGACTGAGAGATGACTACATGAAATTTAAAACTTTCTTTACATCAAAATAAACCAAAGTAAAAAGATGACAAAAATATTTGTATCACATATGAACTTAAATGTGTTAATTCCTTAGTTTTAAAAAGCCAATGAATTAAAACTACAAACATCTTAATTTGAGGGGAAAAAAAAAAGCACATTATGCGGGCAACAATTTTCCAGAAGGAAAATCCAGGTAAATATCATCATAATAAAGAGATAGTGGATGAGAAATTTCAACCAATTTTTGCAAAATAGAGAGTGAGTGAAAGAGTGGTTACTGATGAAAGAGCAAAGGGGGAGCCTGAACCTAGAAAGTACAGAACAGGCTGACTGATCTGCCCTACTGAGCCCCAGAGAGAAGCTGGCCTCCAAAACCCCATGAATGACACATGGGACTCTAAAGACAGGGGTTCATAGACAGAGTGTACATGGAATTCAGTCACTGTTGTCTCTCTCCACCCCCATCTCACCCTCTCCTTCATACACATACGCATGCAAGCAGAATCCTCAGAAGTCAAGCTTTTATTTCCCAAGTTAAAAAGAAAACAAAATCAGTGTTTCCTTTTCCAAAGAAAATGAACCACTTCTCTGGGAAGAATTCAGGAGTGTGATAAGGCTGTTCCAGAGCAAAGTCTTCTTTTGTTGCTTTAGGGCCTCCCAGCATGATGGCTGGCTTTCACCCTACTCACCTTCCACCCTACTCACCCTACTCACCCTCCACCCTACTCACCCTACTCACCCTAAAGCAAAGCATGCCAGTGGATAAACTGCTCATGTACACAGCACACAGTCACTTATTTTTATTGTCACATTCTGAAACATCGATGGATAAGAAGGAATCACTTGGAATTGAGTGAAGCATGTATTATGAAAGAGAATGATCAAGAAGTACAAGTAGAAAGAAATGACCATCAAAGAAGTATAGGGTTCAAGCTAAAGAAAATAAAGAAAAAAAATCTCAATAATACCTTACAAATATTTCAGAAAATACTGTAACCATAAGGTATAAACAGAATGCTATTTAAAAAGGAGGGTAATTCAGAGAACAAGAAGAACTCATGAAAATTAAAATATGATGGCAAAACAAAGAACTATCACTAATAAAAAATATATGGGAAAATGAACAGCATCATGAGTATGCAAATTATCCAAATTAACACAAAAATACTCTGCTCTGTTTCACTATTAAGCATTAACAAGAGCAAAAGAAAATGTTAATAAAAATACTCAGTGTTGGGGAAAATGCAGTCAAACTCTGCTTGTGGTATTATAGATTTGTACAACTCTGGAAATAATTTAGCTATATGTATATAAAAAGAGAAAGACATAAAAACAAACTTTTGGCCTAGTGTAGAACAGTTCTCCAAGTAGCCTTATACCAACCAAGTTCTTCCCCCTTTCTTTCTTGTAGTTCTCAAGAATAACTGTAGAATGATCTGGAAATGCAACATCCTAGGATAGGAAAGGATTCACCAGAATAGCCCAAGCTCTATTGCAGTCCAGTCCTGAAGACAGGATGTCCTTCAGTGCTTTAGCCCAGTGTGTCACATGTTCCTGAGGTACAAAACCCAAGGCTAGATGCTTTCTGGCGTCCCTCATCTGTGGCACAAGTGGGACACCTGCAGCTGAGACTCCACGCTCCACAGGCAGCTTTCCTGAGCCTTGAGGGAATGACTGGTAATGAACCCAAGGCTTCTGTTGTCCCTTGCTACCTATTTATAACTAATAAACCCACTTCATGTAACTTATGTGTGGAGGTGTTCTGTCTCACTGGACTCAGACTACTTGGTAACTGGTGCACAGTTAATCTACTTCACACCTAGACATTTTTGTTCCCAAGTGAAAGATGTAAGGAAATGGAAACAAAACCTAGAAAGAGCTAGGTATGCAAATATATTATCATAATAGTATTGAAGAATAAAATACTGCTTTTGCAACAGCTGTTCTTGAATGAACCCTCAATAATCATTGCGTGCTTCTGAAATACCCACAAAGGAGCATTGAGGATATTTAAAATATTGGCCTGGGTGCGATGGCTCACGCCTGTAATCCCAGCACTTTGGGAGGCCTAGGCAGGTGGATCACTTGAAGTCAGGAGTTTGAGACCAGCCTGGCCAACGTGGTGAAACCCCATCTCTACTAAAAACATAAAAATTAGCCAGGCGTGGTGCCAGGCATCTGTAATCCCAGCTTCTTGGGAGGCTGAGGCAAGAGAATCACTTGAACCTGGGAGACGGAGGTTGCAGTGAGCTGAGATCGTGCCACTGCACTGCAGCCTGGGCAACAGAATGAGACTCTGTCTCAAACAAAATAAATAAAAATATAAAATAAAAATCACCCAACACTAGGCTTGCATATTTTGCCTTTGGAAGTAAACCGCTTTGGCTTTTCCTATTCTCAGAATCACTGGTCAATAAAAGTTGTTTCCTAGATGAAATAATGTCTGGGATTTTGAAAGGTTAATAAGAACTATACAGAGTAAGAAAAGTTGGAATAGCATTTCAGGCTGTAGAAAAAGCATGAACAAGTGTGCAGATCATAAAACAGCACAGAGAACATGGAAAACTATAAGCAGCTTAGAGTTCCTAATGTTTAAACCATGAGGCTCGGAGTGGCTGGAGATGAGACCAGGGAAATTGGTAAGGAAGTGCAGATCAAGGAGGGTCTCATGATATACCAGTTAAGAAGTTCTGATTTTAGGTAATGAATGAAGAGCCAGGAAGGGTTAAGCAGAGGCATAACAAAATTAGATTGTGTTTTGGATATAGCATCATTGCTATAGATGTGGCAGGAATAAATAAGAAATATGGGGGTGGGGGTGGGAGTTGAGTTCAGTTTAGGACATGTTACATATGTTGTGATTATAAGACATCTAAAGAAGTATGTTTGATAGGCAGTTGCTTTTATAAATATAAAGGAGAGGGAATAGATTAGGATTGAAGATACATTTATTGAGGTCATTAGCATTATAAGTAAGAATTAAAGTCATGAAAATGATGAGATTGCCACACATTTACACAAAGAATTTATAAAAGAAAAAAATAAATAACTGTGAGTAAAAACTGGAACTTTGTGGGGCATCAGTATGAAAGAGACAGGCAAGAAGAAATAATCCCAAAGAAATGAAAAAGGAAAGAACAGAGGTGGGAGAGAATGAAATAACAGTAAAATGTCAACCAAAGGGTAGAGAGTTTCAAGAAAATGTCAATAGTGTTAAATGGCATAGGGGGATTCATTTAGATATGGAACAAACATGACCATTGGACTTGATTATCTGGACATCATTGGTAATTTTTTCCAACACTAGTCCCTGCAGAACCTAATTGCAGGAAGTTTGAGTATTAGAAAGTCATAGAGGAAGCAAGAATTATGTCCTCTTTAAAAGCAGCTTTTGATAAAGCAATACAGGAGAGTGGGAGACGTAAGTAGGAGAGAGCATAGGATGTGGAATTGGTTGGGGGGGGGTGTAATTTAAGACTTGGAGACAGTTGAACATATTTATAGGACAATAAAAACATATAAGAGAAAATAAAGCATGGAAATAACAAAAGAGTACAATTTTGGAGTAAACAGTAAGTATTAAGATCTAAAGAATAGGAAATGTAGGTTTTAAACTGGGGAAGTAGACTTTAACCTTTGACAGGGTTCAGGACACACTATCCCCACATTTGGCACCCTGGCACTTGAGAAAAGAGTAGAAGCAGGAAGGTCTTTCTGACCTTCCCCTGTGGCTCTCCCCTGAAGCAGACTATAAAATAATTCTCTGACCATCCTTTAAAGTAGGTCATAAGACATTCATTCCAGAGGGATCCTCCCTATACCCAGAGGAAAGAATGAAGACACAGAGATACAAAGAAGAATTTGTACAAACAGGCCTTGCTAAGTTCCCCCTGGTTTATTACCATTAGATCATACTTCCTTTTGTCCAATCATAATTCTATAGTGTTGTCCACTCTTAATCAAATCTAAACATAAAATAGATAGTGTATTAGGCCATTTTCATGCTCTTAATAAAGACATACCCAAGACTGGATAATTTATAAAAGACAGAGGTTTAATTGACTCACAGTTCAGCATGGCTGGGGTGGCCTAAGAAAACATACAATTATGGCAGAAGGGGATACAAACTCGTCTTTCTTCACATGGTGGCACGAAGGAGAAGTGTTGAGGAAAAGGGGGAAAAGCCCCTTATAAAACCGTCAGATCTTGTGATAACTCACTCACTATAATGAGAACAGCAGCATGGGGGTAACTACTCCCATCATTCAATTATGTCCCATTGGGTCCCTCCCACTACACATGGGGATTATGTGAACTACGATTCAAGATGAGATTTGGGTGGGGACACAGCCAAACTATATCGCATTGTTTTTTGTTTCTTTAGGTCTTTATTTCCAAAAGCTTGTGAGTTGCATAAAATTTATATTAAATACATTTGGAAGCTTTTTGCTTCTCAGTCTGTCTTTTATTATAGATGCCTGAACCATGACTCTTGTGATGGGTGAGAAAAATATGTTACTTTCCCCCCCTACACCTCTGAGACTTGAGAAAAGCAAGTAAGAATGAATGGCAGGTATAGATCAACTAGTGTTCATGAGGGCAGGGGATGGCCAATTAATTGGTTGGGATCTCAAACCTCATAGCTTTATATTTTCTGCAAAATAGAAGGCAAGTTCATTTGGGTAAGAAAATTAAAGAAAATGGTAAGATGTTGAAGAGTCATGGAATCCAAATGGGAAATGGAGCTGGTAGGGTGCAATTTAAGTATTGTGAGATGGCATTGAGGTCCCAAGCCTCAATGGAACCTCTAAAATCTGAGAGCATTTTTAAAAAATACTACGATTGGTCCTCTGGATCTGTGGGTTCCGCATCTGCGGATTCAACCGTGATTAGAAATATTTGGCAAAATAGTAATAATGATACAACAATAAAAAATAACACAAATTTCCAAAAAGTGTAACAACTATTTACAGAACATTCACATTGTATTAGGTATTTTAAATAATTTATAGATGATTTAAAGTATATGGGATGGTGTGTATTGGTCATCTGCAAATGCTGTGCCATTGTATATAAGGAACTTGAGCTTCTGAGGATTTTTATGTAGGGGTTCCTGGAACCAATCCCCCAAGGATACCAAGGGTGAACTATAGCGTGCATATGCCATATATTATGCTAACCTATTTGTATGGTCTGGGGAAGCACTGTCATAATCAAACAAACATTTTACTATTTCTGCAAATAAATTTATGGGTCAAGTTTTACCCCCAAATAAATTTGCACCAAAGAAAAAGGCTTCTGGTTTTTAGAGTTTTTAGATTTTATAATTGCAGGTAAGAGACTATCATTCTGCAAAGAGCAAGATATCCACAAGTTGATAGGGGAGCATCTAGAAGCCAAAAGAGGAAGGAATTAGGAAAAGGTTCCCAACTATGGTGAATTTTGAGCTAAGTTTTGAAGGATAGTTAGTAATTAGCCAGGTGAATGAGGAGATAATAGTGTTCAAAACAAGAAATCTACGTTTCATCTTCTGGAATTAGTCATACATTTCATGGGTTAATCTTAATTTAGGTCTTCCCTGGGTTTCCTTAGAAATCATTTTATTTATTTATTTAGAGACAAAGTCTCACTCTATCTCTCAGGCTGGAGTGCAGTGGCAAGACCACGGCTCACTGCAGCCTCCATCTCCCAGGCTCAAGTGATCCTCCCACTTCAGCCTCCAGAGTAGCTGGAACTAAAGATGCACATGGAGTCAGGGTCCCACTGTGTTTGTTGCCCAGGCTGGTTTCAAGCTCCTGGGCTCAATCAGTCCTCCTACCTCAACCTCCCAAATTGTTGGGATTACAGTGTGAGCCACTGTGCTCTGACTAGAAAGCATTTAACAAGAGCTTCTACAATGGATCAATTTACACCTGATGTTTTGGTATTAATATCGAGTAAAGCCAATGACTTCTGGACTCCTGATAAAAGCTATTTGAATATTAAAAGGAGTCCTCTATTTAGCAGTAAAATTCCGAGTGAGAAATAGCAACAATAAACACATCTAGATCACATACAGGTATGGATTAATTAAAGTATTATTAACTCAAATAGTCGAGTACCTCATTACTAGAATTTAACTGAATCAAAGGATGCTTATATTACAAGAAAACTTTTTACCCTGGAAGAAATAACTTTTTAAGGGGAAAAATGCTTATCTATCATTTTGTACACTAGCATTAGCATTTGCTAGTTCAAATCTAATAAAGCCCTCTCCATGAATGCACCACTAATAAAATCTTCAAAATGGCTTCTCTCAACATTTTCTTTTTGATTTTTCATGATTTAATTAGAAACATCTTTTAAAAGGCTGGTTTTACTATGGTAGCATCACATCTGCATTTTCAGCAGTATGCTGTTTAATCACAACGGGTTATAAAGTGAAACTCCCAGTACTTATTGTATTATCTAGTAGAACCCACGCATTTTGTATTTTTAGTGCCCCTGAGTAATCATCTTATATTTGTTCATCAACATTTTAACTGCCCCTCTTAAAAGAAATGTAATTTGATAGTTAATTTTCTAAACTTGTCATCCTTGTATTTTTTTTCAAAGTAACGACATTTCATGTGCCTTTGATATGCTTCATCCTGCACCTGAACCCTTTTCTCTAATAAGTCAAAATTTATTTCTCTTTTTCTACCTTATATTAACTTTTGCAATTTTTGTTTAGAGATTTCAAACTAAATTCTTCTAAGATTTTATGATCCTCAGTAAAAATGACTTAGCTATTTTATGCCACATCACTGGATAGTTTTAGAATACATGTAAATGCTATGGTGGTAATGTTGAAATTTGTAGTGTAAGATTAGTCTAGGAAAAAATGAAATATATATTATACATACATATAAATTTAAATATATTATACCCATATAAAGTAGGTGTTGGGTTTTTTGGCAGCAAATTTTTTTTCTTTCAAGTTATTAACAAAGGACAGATTCCTTTTTCTAATAGAGACAAATTCTCCATTAAAAATACTGTCTTAAACTGACAAATAATAATTCTATATATTCTTAGGGTGCATAGTGATGTTTCGATACATATAATGTACAGTGATCAGATCTGGGTAGCTGGCATATCCATCATCTCAAACATTTATCATTTCTTTGTGTTAGAAGATGGATTTTTTTAATATTCAAAGGATGGTGAAAAGTTTTTGTGGGTTTAAGTGCTAGCTTGAGAGTTTTTTGTTCACTGTTCCTTGTCTGGAACAGAATCAAACAGGCGTAAATTGGATCAAAAACCTGTTGAAGAACTAGGGCTGTTTCCCTATCCTACCCTCCGTACCTTCCTTCCATCATTCCTTCTTTTCTTCCTTCCTTCCTTCCCTTCCTTCCTTCCTTTTCCCTTCCTTCCTTATTTCCTTCTTTTCTTCCTTCCTTCATCCTTGCCTCCCTGTTTTCTTTCTGTCTTCTCTTAAATTGCAAAGAAAAAGGGAGAGCCAATTATTCAGATAAACATGTATTGTTAATTATTGTAAGCCCCCTTGAAAGCAGGAGCTGATTCTTAGCATCCTCCACCACTCCTAGCACAGTACCTTTATCACTGTCTACATTACATGGAGTAATAGCTTAGAGCATGGGTTCAAGAGTCCAGCTGCCTTGGTTTCAGTTCTAGTCCTGTCTTACTAGATGTGTGGCTGTGGGCAAGTAACTGGACCTTCCTTTATTCTGAAAAATCCAATAATAATAGGATTCCACTTATACAGTTGTATTAATTAAATATGACATTTAAAGTACTTAGAACTCCTGACACATAATAAGAATTTAATAATTGTTAGTTACTGATATTGTTTTTCTGTTTCATTTTGCTGGCAAGATACATACATTCTTTTTCCTTTTTTGTGTGTCTTTTTAATTTACTCGACCAGCACTTCTTTATTTATTCATTGATTTATTCTTTTATTCAACACATATTATTTGAGCACTTGCCATGTTTCAGAAACAGTACTAGATTCTGGAGACTTAAAAGTAAACAAGAAACACATGGCCCTCTATTAATATGAGAGCTAAGAAGCGCTACCCAACTAAACAATAAAATACAATGCAGTGTTCCTAAGTGTTGTAACTAGAGTGGGGGGGGGGGTGCTACAGAGTTGGAGGGTACACACCCAACCCAGGTTGAGAAATGTACCTGGTGGGGACCCCCACCAGATGACAGTAATATCATCTTGTTGGAGAATACTCTGCCTTGCCACTCTCTGTTTGACTCTCTAACTCCGAAAACATGTCCCTCCCTCATCTTAGCAGGCCTCTGAGGATTCACAAATTGGGTTATTTGACCCCCCAAAAAGGATGGGGCCTCAAGAATCCATATACTTACAAAGCACTTCAGTTGATCTTGAAGCAAGAGTCTGAACATTGAGCAATAACTGTTAGGCAAAATGGACAAGAGTAGCAAGATAAGAAATATTGGAATAAAATCTCAGTGCTGCTTCAGCATATCCAAATTATAAACAAATTGGTACAACATCCCAATATTGCATTAAAGAAAAGATCTTTCAGGTATGATGCATTTCAGAGAGAGATTAATCCTAGACAGGACAATTAATGTCATCACCTTATATTCAGTGGTACATCTAAACCATGCTGGAAAGACCCAACTATTCGATTTTGAAAGACTTCCAAAGAAAGGGATTTTATGGCATTTCTTGTTGACACTTTCTAATAATTTTAATGTTAATTCTCATCACATTCTTGGACACGATTAGGAACTTTGTCTCTTTTGCTCCTGTATTTCATTTTCTGCAGATTTTTCACCCTTGCAACCCCCTCTAATTCTCTCTCAACTTCTTAGTTCCTCTCTGTTATTCTACCTTGTTCTCAAACTCTTTGTCTAGAAAATATGTGGAGCTCATACTCATTAAAATCATGCAACTAGCCAGGTATGGTGGCTCATGCCTGTAATTCCAGCAGTTTGGGAGGCCGAATTGGGCAGATCATTTGAGGTCAGAAGTTCAAGACCAGCCTGGCGAACATGACAAAACCCTGCCACTACTAGTAATACAAAAATTAGGCATGGTGGCACGCACTTGTAACTCCAGCTACTCGGGAGGCTGAGGCAGGAGAATCGCTTGAACCCATGAGGTGGATGGAGGTTGCAGTGAGCTGAGATTGCACCACTGCACTCCAGCCTGGGCGACAGAGTAAGAGTCCGTCTCGAAATAAATAAGTAAATAAAGTAAAATAAAATAAAATAAAATCATGCAACAATTATAAGCTTCAAAGCATCATGTCTCTCAAGGAACATTTGTACTTTAAGGTGAGAAAGGCTTTTTAAAAAATACAAATATATTTTGGAATTTTAGACAGAAGACAACTAATGAGGTAGAGCTGAGTTTTCTAGCTGTCCCTTAATAACCATCCTGGTTGGCTACGATCGGCAACTAATGCTTTATTTGTGGGTATTTAATTACTAGGATAATTCCTTTTATACTCCCTACTAGTTCTAGTTTGAGTGTATAGCTCATGTGCTGAGAACTACGTACTTTGATTGTTTCTGACTTATGGGGAAGCAAAATGAAATTGTCCACAATAGTTTTAAAAGCCAATTTTAACTTTTTATCTATGGCAGGATAATAATAATAATTGTCACCACCACTTAAATAGTGCGTTTCATCCTTAGACCTCAAGACGCTTCAGCGTTGTTCCTTTACATTATTTGAGTGAATATGTTTTGGAAGAGGGGACAAACTGAACAACACACAATACATGGTTAGCTATGCTAATTTTATTCCCTCCCCTCCCCTCCCCTCCCCTCTCCTTTGCTTCCCTTTCCTTTCAGAATGAGTCTTGCTCTGTCACCCAGGCTGGAGTGCAGTGACACGATCTCGGCTCACTGCAATCTCCACCTCCTGGGTTCAAGCGGTTCTCCTGCTTCAGCCTCTCTAGTAGCTGGGATTACAGGCACCCACCACCGCACCCAGCCTTGTTTTCTTTAACAAATGCAAAATAAATAGCCGTACTAAAAAGCCAGATAATATCTTGAAGATAAACTCTTTGGAAAGTAGGTTATTCTAAACAGAGGTGTTCAATGTAAGTTTGAAAATTTTTATTCACGTATACACAAATCCCGAACTTGATTAACTAATACTGAATTTTTGGCTTCCATTTTATCATATAAAGAAACAAGCAACTTGCTTGTACACAGAAAAATGGCTTTAATGAATAGTAAAACTACAGCTTTTTAAGGCTTTACTGCCTTCTAAATTTTATGAGTAAATTTTGTGGAAAACTCTGTAAATAGAGCATAATTATTTTGAAAATAGGAGCCTTTGTTATTAGTCATCTAACTGTCATGGTATATGAAGCCCCTTGCTGAATAAACAAAAGACTGAAAAAAGTTACCTGTAGAGAGTTTTTGCTATTGAAAGAATAAAAACTAAAGCAATGGGGTGAACTTTTTCTTGTTCATAGACACAAATACTGAATGCTAAACCTGGCTGAGAAAAAAATCACTTTAGCCTGATAACTGGATTACTTAGAACAAAAATAGAGAAAATTAAGAACTGAAAGGCAGAAAATTAAGGTGGAATGCAATTTAAAGAGTAAGTAGATGATGTAGGCTCTCATTTTCTTCTCCCCCTGTGTCCAGCTAATTAAAATTACAATCAAAATGAAAGAGTCTAAACTTGTAAATATCTTTAGCTAATGATTTTGTCTTTTTAATCATCTTCACATTCAAAGTCTTCTTTTATTCATTTAGGGCTTTACAATAAAATGAAATTGTTTTTCCCCGTAAAAATCCTTCTTTTAGTTTGCCTTGTCTGCTTCACTTTATATTATATACTCTCTAGTTCTTATTTCTCTTTCTCTACATTTTTTTTTCAACTTTTACTTTGAACATACTTTACAGAAGGCAAAATCTATATTAGTGTAGAGTTTGTATTTTATTTTAAAATTTAAGTGCTGATCCAAATACAATGCTTCTAGGCTCTGTCACACACAAAAATACTCATTATAATGTATACCTTATAAAATTAAACTTTCAAAAATTAAGTAGATTCAATTTTCTTACTATAAATATTTCTTTATTGCATTAAACACTAGGAAAAGTCTTTATATTCCAAAGCAAAATCACAGCTAAAGAGCCTGCTGATCCATGGAAATTTTGCTTTATATCTATGTTTACAAATGTATATGCTTCAAGCTGTCCTGGAATTACTGTGTTTGGGGATCCAAAAAATTAAAGGCACCTAAGAAACATGAAGTCCACCATGGTGGGATCCTTCAAGTAACCAGGTCCAGTACACATTAATTGGTCACTGCCATCCACATCCTTTATTAGATGACTTGTGTCCAAACCTGGAGGTCAGATCTGGGCTTTGCATAGCATCCTGTGTCTCTCTTGATCAGTTTCTGCCCTAGCTGCTTGGGGGTGGGGGGGTTACTTTATTTTCCTCCGTGTTAGTGCTAAAATATCATTTAAACCCTGGCTGCTAAAAGTGTGTTCTTGGGGCAGAAACAGTCACATCCCCTGGGAGCTTTTTGAAAACATAGAATCCCAGGCATCTCATCAGATGTATTGAATCAGAATCATGTGCACATTAAAAGTTGAATCCCCAGTTAATGTGCATGTTGAAAGTTGAGAGTACTGTTTGATGAAGTCACCTCTAAGCACTCTAGATATATTTCTGCTCCTTTTTTTTTTTTTTTTTGCCTTTATACTTCTCCAACCTCCACTCATGAATAGACAGCATATAATGTCTAAGGTAGCAATGAGAGGATTGGCTTTCATACCTTATCAGCACAGTATTTGGCCTATTGTTACCAGGTGGTCCTTGCTCCCAGAGCTCCCAAGATGGTGGTGGGCCACTTCCAAAATGGCGGCGGGCTGCTTCCAAGATGGTGGCAAGCCTCGTGTTCTCTGACCTGGGGTTCTTGGCCTCACGGATTCCAAGGAATGGAATCTTGGGCCATGCAGTGAGTGTTATAGCTCTATTAGAAGCCGTGGGTCATGGAAGAGAACCGTGGAACCCAGTGACTAGTGTTCAGCTTGATTAGGACGAACCCGGACACTTAGCCGTGTGGGAACAGTGGCAAGCCTTTAGCCCGACTGGGAGCTGTAATGGGCGCCTCGCTGGATCAGGAGCACAGCAGACACCTTGCCGGATCTGGACGGATGGAAGTCAGCAGCAGGTCTGCGACAGCGGCAAACAGCAGTGGTGGACGGCGAGAGAAAGCTCAGCTCGAACCATGACAAATGTAGACCAAAAGAGAGTGCAGCTGCAAGATTTAATAGAGTGAAGACAGAGCTCCCATACAAAGGGAGGGGACCCAAAGAGCGTAGCTGTTGCTGGCTCAGATGCCTGGGTTTATATGCTGATCATTGTCCCTCCTGCTGTGCTCTCAGGCAATAGATGATTGGCTATTTCTTTACCTCCTGTTTTTGCCTAATTAGCATTTTAGTGAGCTCTCTTTACTATCTGATTGGTCGGGTGTGAGCTAAGTTGCAAGCCCCATGTTTAAAGGTGGAAGCGGTCACCTTCCCAGCTAGGCTTAGGGATTCTTAGTCGGCCTAGGAAATCCAGCTAGTCCTGTCTCTCACTATGATGTCATTTCCCATGACTCAGGTCCCTTCTTGATAAGCTGGCTAGAATGCCTTAACCATTCAGCCTGACTTAGGTAGTGATGATGATATGCCAACTAAGGCCAACTTGTTGGCCAACAATGCCTACCTCCTGGATAAGGAACCAGCATGGGCCAGCCACACCCAAGACCAAACACAAGGGCAATAAAGGCACATGTCTGGGGCTGAGGGTAGTGTACTTCTGCTTTCTATAGCCAAGGATGGATTTTCCCAGCAGGTAGAGATATCTGTATACTGTATGTGATATCCCAGTCTACTGCCAAAAACACTTTGGTTGGCTGATAAGGGAGGAATCTAGCACTATGTTTCCAGCTTTCTTTTTCATTCATTCATTCCATGAACACATAGGATGATGTTTTCATCCTATCTCTCTGATAACTTATTTTCAATATCTTTTGCCAGCCATTTTCTTCTACCCATTCTTGAAATGTTTGAATTCCTCAAGGCAACCCCTTCTTTACTTACTCAATATATTGTCTAGATTCCATTCTCTCAGCAGTATGGTGGCTTCAATTACCATGTATAAGCCAACTACTCCCATTTCTGTCTCTAGCCCAGATCTTTCTTCGATGCTCAAGACCCATATATCTAGTGTTCATTTTACAGGTCACTTGGATGTCTCGCAAGCAACTCAATCTCGATATGTTCAATAGCGAACTCACAATTTTCCATTTCAAGCCAGTTCTTTCTCTGATGTTCATCGATGCAGTAAATAATTCAACTCTGCTTTCAGCTATGCTTATCTTACCTCATAGCCAATTAATCAGCAAGCCTTATTGATTCTATTTGTTGTCTTTTGAATCCTTCTACTCTTCCTATTTCTATTACTCCACCTGAGTCCAAGCATCATCATAGCTTACTCACGTTCTTCAATAACCTCTCAAATAATATTTCTATATCTGCTCTACTGTATGAAAAGCACAAGTTATAGCCTTGGGAAAGTTCATTTCAAAATATCACTGGAGACATTCAACGGGCTAGCTAGAAGTTAGCAAAAGTAATTATCTAACTAGCCTCTTAACTGATCCCTGGTCCTTCTATATTTATAACACAGCCACTGAGATTTTACATACCAAGCAATGCCGTATATATTATAGTAAGTGATTTTTCCCCCTAAAAACTAGGATCTAATCACGTCACTCTCCCGCTTAAAGTCCCATAAACTCTTCCTATTTCCCTTAATCAAAATTCTTTACATTGACTCATTGACTTCAAGGTTCCCTAAGACCTGTCTCTTGCCTCACATATTACAATCATTTCATTCCTCTGCATACTCCTATTGTTTACATTCTAGTTTCTTGAAAATACTGTGTGTCTTCCTGGCTGGTACTCCCATATTTAGTATCCTTTCTTACCTAGCCCACTCCTAACCATTTTTCAAATCTCAGATTAGTCACTTCCTATGAGACTTTATGTCTTACACTTTAGACTAGGCCAGGTCTAGGTAATATGCTTTTTCATCAATTTCTATTTCTTTTTATGATAGATATTGCAATTGTAGTATGGTATATCTGCCTCTTCAGTTAGATGTAAGCTCCATCCTGGAAGCATTATTTTGGTTCTTGTTCACTACTTGTCTTAGTATGTTTTCACACTGCTATAAAGAACTGCCAAGGACTGGGTAATTTATAAAGAAAAGAGTTTTAATTGACTAAAAGTTCTTCATGGCTGGGGAGGCCTCAGGAAACTTATAGTCATAGAGGAAGGTGAAGAAGCAGCAAGTGTCTTCTTCACAAGGCAGCAGGAGAGAGAGGAAGAGAGAACGAAGGGGGAAGAGCCCTGGTAAAACCATCAGATCTCATGAGAACTGATTCACTATTATAAGAACAGCATGCGGGGAGCTACCCCATGATCCAATCACCTCCCACCAGGTCCCTCCCTTGACACAGGGGGATTACATTTGGAGATGAGATTTGGTTGGTAATGAAGAACCAAACGACATCACTACTTTAGCTCCAGAAGTGCCTTATACAAGTAGTTCTCAATAAATATTTAAAATGAAGAAATAAAGTACCAAAGGAATGAATAAGTAGGGTATACTAGGTTCTAGGGATGCAGAAGAATCAGACATGACTCTATGCCTGGGTGAGAGGACTTTGAGCTCCATCATCCCACTGATTGCCAAGTTTGGTATGGCTGGTGTGGCCAAACATCCTTCTCATCCTCCATTGTTCCGTATGAGCCACACATAAAGTCATAGGCTTCAAAGGATTCTGGCATCTGGTGTAAATAGGTATGCAAGAGGCCAGGACATATTTGTAAGTTCATGATAAAGTTTGTAGCTTTATCAAGTAGTACACTTTGCACTTTATCAAATTAGTACAGTAGGTTCAGTTGCCAATATTCCCTAAGACTATTTCATAACTAATTTTATCCAACTGATGACTGCTTTTTATACCAACTCATGACCCATGATTCAAGAAAAGTCCGAATAGGGAATGTGTAAAGCCTGCAAGTGATGAAGTACTCAACAATGGTCACCTGCATATAGCATTCGTTTCCATGAGTGAAGGCCTGGGTTAAGTTAGTAACCATTAGGACCAACTGATCGACCAAACAAATTTAACTTTTTAAAAATTCACAATCATCTGTATCTGAAGGCCACAATCATCTGTACCTGTATCTTATAGCCAGAACAATTCCCAGTTCAACTGCAGTTTGGGAAGTGTGAGGATGAATCAGACTTTGTCCCATCACCTCAGGGCCATAGGTCCTGCTCAGAATAGGTGCTTGTGTGATTCATTCTGTTGAATATGTTCCTCAAATATGTTCAAGATTCCAATATATTACAATTTATAGGAAAATGTGGTACTCAATATTTTGTAGCTCATTTATTTGTCTTTTTATTAATGTTTCTGTGTTTCTAACATTACCAAAAACTAATGAAATTCAGGCAAAATTTCTATATGTGGTAATTCTCTCAACAAATATTTATTTGAGTTTGTATATGTTTAAGGGACTAGACTAAGTGCTGGAGATATGACAGAAAATAAAGCAGAAAAAAAAATCCTGTTCTATGGAGTCTATATACACTATTGAGGGGAGATAGACAATAAGCAAAATAAACAAGTTACATTTATAGCTGTTAGAAGATAATAAGTCTAAGGGGGAAAAAATCAAGCAAGCTAAGGGGTATGAGGTGTGGTGGTAGAGAGCTACAATTTTAAATAGAGTTGACTGAGAGGTCTTTTGAAAAGATGACATTCATACAATGACCTGATGAAAGGGACAGAGGGAAAATCCATCTGGGAGACAAACTTTCCAGGCAGTGGGGAGTTACCAGTACACAGCTGAGACAGGAACATGCCTGGGAAGTTTAAGGAATAACAAGGAGACCATTGTGCCTGGAACAGTGAGCAAGAATAATAGGTGATTGTATTAGAGAGGAAAAAGAGATAGTGAGAGAGATCATCTGGGGCCTTGTGAAATATTAAGAAAACCGATTTTACTTGATTGAAATGGTAAGCTATTGGAGGGATTTGAGCAGTACAGTGACATGATATGATTTCCATAAAAATGATCTTAGCAGCGTCCACATTTGTAATAGAAAAGCAAGAGTGCAAGCAGAAATCAGTTAAGGTACTAGTTAGGGAACTATTTTTTTGAACTTCCTGGTGATGTTATTACATCTTCAGAGACAATTTTAAATGAATTGCCTTAAGTTATGAATTTTAAATCTTATTTTTCATATAGTGATGGACCTGGTATAGATGGATTAAACATAAACTAAATAAGCTTAGCATAACTATTCTTGCCTTTCTAGAAGTGGTAGAATTTCCTTGTGGAACCTGAGAAATGTTAATAGCAGTTCTGTGGCTGGCAGATATATATATATAGGGCACTGCTGGGTTAAAGCACATAGCCATGTTTTGTACAGTGCAGAAAGGCTGTCACTTTGTTACCATGCCATTCAGATAGCTTGGAAACCTATGATAGTCATTCATAAATTTATTATAGTAATTTCTTGAATTTTTATTGTTGCATAACACAGTTTTTAGTTGCTTTAAGAAACAGAAACAAATTTAATACATGTTCGCAGCCTTAAGAAACTTACTTGTAATAAGCCAATTAATCAACAAGCATTATTGATTCTATTTTCTGTCTTTTGAATCTTTCTACTCTTCCCATCTGTATTACTTCATCTGAGTCCAAGTATTGCCATACCTTACTCAGGTTCTTCCATAGCCTTTTAAATAGTCTTTCTGCATCTGCTCTAATGTAAGGTAATTTCATGAGATAAGGTTATAATGGAATAAGAATAATTTTTGTGGGGAATCAGAATTATTACCTACTTTATGATAACATACCACATATGTATGATCTGATATAGTCTAATTTCCTAAAGTTTTATATGAAAAGTTACTATAATCAACTTATTTCAGTGAATAATCTCACCAGATTTTGTGCCTAACCATTATATACGGCAACAGAAATTGACCTTCAGTGTAGATATAGATTGCTCATGCAAAAATAAAAGGCATAACTGTTAAAGAGTATCTGTTGCTTATAGGAGAGTTGAGAAATAGTCTTTGCAATGTTTTATTAAAGGTTAAATAAAAAACAAACAGGGTCTACACTAACAACATAAAGTAGCAACCTGGAGCAATTCACTCAGAATTTCCAGACTTCAAAGTTAAGTTCTAAAATAACTTAAAATAGCTAAAATTTAATATAAAATTTTAATTTTACTAGAGGCCAAATAATGAAAATGTTTCTAAGCATTGGTGAGTGATCTATATTTTGTTAATCTCATTTTAACATTTGATATAATAAACAAATTTATAATAAGCACCAAACCACATCATAAAAATTGATGCATGGACCACAAACATTTTTCATATATATCTATATATTTATATTTGCAAGGAAGATAATGGCTTAACCTGGGTTTCATGATGCCTAGCCTGGTGTCTTTTCTCACTCATCTATAGAACTCAAAGCACAAAAGGATCAGAAGAATCATCTATCTTGTCCTTCTTCCTGTCAATGCAGCATTCCTTCTGTAAAACCCAGCACGAATGAGTAATCCATCCACAATTTATAACTGGCCATAAAAATTATGTTAAATAGCCTTTTAAAAAATATTACTCTAGATCAGACTTAAATAATCTTATCTGGAAATGGTTAAAATGGTCCAGTTTCTTAAATGCCAGATTATTTTTAGACTTATATGTGCTGCCATTGAACAAGCCTTTTAATATGTAATGCTCAGAATCTTTGACAACATCCATGAAATATGTAAGCCTAAAACAAATAACGTATTATTTTGAGGGTTGTTTAAAAAATAGTTTATCAAGCCCTGACAGAATATTTTATGAACAGAGTAAACACAGTATTTTTTTCCAGAGGAAATATTTTCTGTGACATTACAAAACAGCATTTGTCAAAATGAAATCTATCTGAACTCAAGGATTCAGTTCATAAGAAGGCCCCATGAAAAATGTTAGTACTAAATTAATTAATAGTGTCAGTATTAAAACAATAAAACAATTTATGGTATTAGAACTATTCCAATGGCAGCATAGATTAGCTTGCATTCCCTTTATTAACAGTTTCAATATTTTAATATTTTTCCATATAATTTTCAATTATGGATGATATCTCCTCTAAAAAATGATTACTATTACTTCTTCTCTGGTATAGTCTTAATTGTACATAGTTCATACTCTCCTGCTGAATCTCAAGTTAAATTAAAGCATTCTAAAGGTGCATTTTATTGGTTTCAATGCTTCTGGGTTTTAAAGTTCATTTAAAGTTCACAATTTTTATTTTTTGGCAAAAATAGCTTTTCAATATGATTCAGTTTTGAAAAAGCAAAAGTGCAAAACTAACATTCAAACTTTTACTTTTCATCTCCAATAAAAATATAAAATTAGATTTATCAGTAAAATCTTGGATTCAACAATTCAGAACATATCCATCCATATGATTCAAATCAAATAAAACATTTTTAACATCTCTTTTGTATCAACATGCACACTGGTGAACACACCAAGCCAGAGTACTTGCCAGCAATAGTTTAGTTTGGGTAGGGAAGCAGAATAAATGAAACAGATGAAACAGAACAATGAAACAAGTAAAAACATAGTTTCATAGAAACATCAAGTCAAGTTATTATAAGGCAGAGTCTTCATACAGTGCTAGATTAAGGATGGATTAAAATTAGGGTGTAATTAGGATGATTTTGGAGACGAGTTTTGAGAAAGGTTTTGAAAAGTTTTAGTGTATGAATCAGTGGGGGGGTAGGGCGGGCGGGGGGCAAGAATTTCCAATGAGAGGAGTAGGGTGAAGATACGGAAAGAAACAATTGTAATACTGGTCAAGAAAATACTAACGGATAAAGCAGAGTGGGCAAGACTATACCACTTTGACCCATACAATCCTCTCATCTTTCATTTATTTATTTAGTCTACCAAGTGTTTACTTTGACTATTTAGCATAGGCCCTGTAGTATAACATTGCAATCACTCTGTGGCCAGAACACTCAATGCCTTAGATCCTGTCTTGCTGGACTACCTGCAGGCATGGCCAGTTTCAGACATCAGAACAACAAATTTTTTAGTTCTGTGCAGTGGATGCTAGTGAAAAACAGATGATTAAACTTGAATTATCTTTCTAATGTCAGTCACAATCCTACTCTCAAACTACTTCCTCATGCCTTTTCATCATAATCTTGACAACTTCCAAGTCAAACTACTAACTGCAAAATTTTTTTCAAAGAGCTACTACCAATGTTGGAAAACAGAGGATTTTTCTCAGAGAGAGCAATGGCTCCCCTACTTGCTCTCCAACTCTCACCTCAAGCTGTGGTACTAGTTACAGCCACCTGTAAACTCTGAAATTTGGATCAATTCTGCTTTTCTGTTCCTACACTCAGGATATTGAAGAAAAAAATTATACCTGCTCCTGCCATAGCAACAAATCCATCATCTCTGGATTCATCTGGGTTTTCAGAGGCATTTGGCAGAAATTTTATATGTCTCCTGTGTTTTTCAAGGTCCTCTCGCATTTTCCATTTTCTCCCTTCTGCCTTCCTCAGATCTCCTACCCTAACACCACTCTATTGATAAGACCATTGATCAAATTGAGTCCAAAGATAATACTGCCACTTGATTATATAAAGTGGGTTCATTTCCACTGGGGACCTTCTGGTGAGTATTTACTTGAGGCATAACCATTTTTAGGCTCTAGGACAATTTTAAGAAATCCACCTTCTATATACATGTATTCCATAAGCTTGCTTTTTACTAATCATATGATCTTGTTTCTTCCAAATATCCCATATCACTACTTCCTGCCCAGGAATCACTACATGACCTGACTATGGGCCAAACCTGCTTCCATGAAAAATATCTAGCATGTGAAGCACAAGTTCTACCTACCAAAGGGATTTCTATTCTTTAATTTTCTAAGAGCCAGCAGTCTTGTACTATCCGGTATAGACATATTGTGTGTGGAACCGTCCTTAAATCGGTGTTAAGGCTTGACCTTCTCAGTCAATTGCTCATAGGAAACTACCTTTAAGCTATAGATGTTAGTTGAAGCCAGTGTGGGAATTTGGAGAAGGCATAGGCGTGTAGGACCTGTGCAGTTATCTGATTTTTCAGGGCACCTCAAGCTTTATAGCTGTGTTGATTCACTACTGGCAGCATAAGCTAAATGGAATCCCATGGTAAAGGGTCTCCTGCAAAGATATTATCAAGTCAGGAACGGTATTAGTCCATTTTCACACTGCTATAAAGAACTACCTGAAGCTGGGCATGGTGGCTCATGCTTGTAATCCCATCACTTTGGGAGGGAGAAGTGGGCAGATAGTTTAAGCTTAGGAGTTTGAGACCAGTCTGGGCAACATGATGAAATCCCATCTCCACTAAAAATACAAAAATTAGCCAGGTGTGGTGGTACACACCTATAGTCCCAGCTACTTGGGAGGCTGAAGGGGAAGGATTGCTTGAGCCTGGGGTGATGGAGGCTGCAGTGAGCTGAGATCATGCCACTGAATTTCAGCCTGGGTAACAGAGTGAGACCCTGATTCAAGAAATAAAAATTAAAAAGTTAAAAGGGAAGAACCCTCAGTTCCAGGAATTGCCCATGTTTGAAAAAAAAAAAAAGAAAGAAAAAAAGGTGAAAGGTGAAGGGATGCAAGGCACATCTTACATGGTGGTAGGAGAGAGAGTGCTCCAGGGGGAACTACTAAATATTTTTAAACCATCAGATCTCATGAGAACTCACTATCAGGAGAAGAGCATGGGGGAAACCCACCCCATGATCCAGTTACCTCCCACCTGGTCCCTCCTTCAACACATGGGGATTATAATTGGTGATAAGATTTGGGTGGGGACACAGAGCCAAACTATATATTGGCTGCTGAATAGGGCATGGTCTTTGTCCAAACGTGAGAGTTCTCTTTTTATATCCTACCTGGAGTTACTAAGTCTCACTTCAGTATCTCAGTTTATTACAGAAGTTCAAGCACCATCGGAGGTCATAAGGATCAATTGACAGAGTTACTTGCACTGAAACCCTGGACCAGGTGCTAAGCTTTCTTTTACTGTGGACCTCAATTATAGATGGACAAAAGTTGGATCACCTTGTTTGTGGTAAGAGTAATGCAGACAAATATGTTGCATCTAAGATTTAGAAACCATTTTGAAAGCAGTAGCCAGACATGCCACAGATCCTCAAACACCAGGCCTGTTACCATCACATCAAATCTCTTTACTTTTACAGAATTTCATAGTCAAACATATGACTTAAGAAGTCATTCAGAATTGTTTCTACTTCCTGATCTTCATATCCTATCAGCATGATGTTTTGTGGGTATTGGATCAAAGTAAATGGTAATGTGGTCAAGATCTCAGCAAACTAGGCTGTAGACTACAGCCAGAAAGCTGACATATCCCTGAGGCATGACAATGAAGAATTACGGGTTCCTCTGTCAAAGATAGCAAACTTCTGGTGATTCACGTAAACCAAAATGGGAAAAAAATGTTTTAGCAAGATCAAGAACTGCCTCAAAAGTGCTAAAAGATATGTTAATTTATTTTAACAAGGAGGAAAAAGAATGCAATAGCAGCCACAATTTGAGCCTCAGCTAATGTTGTTTCCAATAATCTGCTATCATTCTTCAAGACCTATCAGACTGCAAAAGCCAAGCCGGCCTATTAAATTCATCACCATATCTTCCCCTTTCAGGAAGCAGCTTCCGGGGTTGTAGTGCTCTTGTTCATTCTCTATTTTGGCAGGTAAGGAGAGTCAAATGACTGCACTTGGCCCTCCCTAAAACAATAGCCCTTACTTTAAAGGTCTGGGAAACTGTGTGGGGATTCAAGAAACTGCCAGTTTCCTAAAATACCGATTCCAGCAATTCACTCAGAATCTGAGAATATGTTTTGGAGGATCCTACTGGGCCTACCATGCAATAAACTCAGATCAGAACTCCATTTATCACCTGAGCTCCATAATAATCCCCAACTCTTACCTGCTGACTACAGTGGAATTATAGGTCCCTAAGAATCAGTGATAACTTTGAGCCAATATCCAGTATTTCCTGAGTTTAAGTGTTTCCCTTTCCTCAATCCACAAATATTCAGGTTAACAACTGCCAGCCCCATTAGGAAAGACAAGGCAAAAGGTTCACAGTGTGCCTGTGTAGTGTTACAGCAGGATCTTTCCTCATAGGTACTAGCCTCGCCTGCATTGTGTGGTACCGGGTCTTTGAACCCAAAATTCTCTAGCATGTTGGCTCCAGTGAGGCCTCTGTTCACCAGACCTAGAATAGCTTTGGTTAAATAAATCAAGACACACCTTAATTGGCTGTCTGTCTATTTCATTCCTGGGGACCCCATGATTAAATTAACCACAGCCAGAGATTTCTGCTACTGAAGCCATTCCCTGATCCCTGAGTGTAGCATCTGGCTATTAAAACTATACCCACTTTGCTTCAGACTGTTAATAGTCATCACCTGGGCCATGCCTCGGCTGGCTTCTCATATCCCCACTGAGATCAGGAATACAAATTTTATTGTTGCTCCTTCCACAAGCATTCCCAGCCCAGGAAAAAAAAAAAAAAGCCAGCAGAGCACTTTTTAAATATTTGGGTATTTCTCTTTTTTGTTCTATTTTTACTGGCAAGGGAGAGAACTTTTTATGGCCCTAGCAGTATATAGGAGTGAAGCACATGACCCGTTTAATCTACTTCCTTATCTCCTAAATTCTTTAATTTATTTATTTATTTATTTATTTTTTAGTATACTTTAAGTTTTAGGGTACATGTGCACAATGTGCAGGTTAGTTACATATGTATACATGTGACATGCTGGTGCGCTGCACCCACTAACTCGTCATCTAGCATTAGGTATATCTCCCAATGCTATCCTTCCCCCTCCCCCCACCCCACAACAGTCCCCAGAGTGTGATGTTCCCCTTCCTGTGTCCATGTGTTCTCATTGTTCAATTCCCACCTATGAGTGAGAATATGCGGTGTTTGGTTTTTTGTTCTTGCGATAGTTTACTGAGAATGATGATTTCCAATTTCATCCATGTCCCTACAAAGGACATGAACTCATCATTTTTTATGGCTGCATAGTATTCCATGGTGTATATGTGCCACATTTTCTTAATCCAGTCTATCATTGTTGGACATTTGGGTTGGCTCCAAGTCTTTGCTGTTGTGAATAGTGCTGCAATAAACATACGTGTGCATGTGTCTTTATAGCAGCATGATTTATAGTCCTTTGGGTATATACCCAGTAATGGGATGGCTGGGTCAAATGGTATTTCTAGTTCTAGATCCCTGAGGAAACGCCACACTGACTTCCACAATGGTTGAACTAGTTTACAGTCCCACCAACAGTGTAAAAGTGTTCCTATTTCTCCACATCCTCTCCAGCACCTGTTGTTTCCTGACTTTTTAGTGATTGCCATTCTAACTGGTGTGAGATGATATCTCATTGTGGTTTTGATTTGCATTTCTCTGATGGCCAGTGATGGTGAGCATTTTTTCATGTGTTTTTTGGCTGCATAAATGTCTTCTTTTGAGAAGTATCTGTTCATTTCCTTCACCCACTTTTTGATGTGGTTTTTTTTTTTTTCTTGTAAATTTGTTTGAGTTCATTGTAGATTCTGGATATTAGCCCTTTGTCAGATGAGTAGGTTGCGAAAATGTTCTCCCATTTTGTGGGTTGCCTGTTCACTCTGATGGTAGTTTCTTTTGCTGTGCAGAAGCTCTTTAGTTTAATTAGATCCCATTTGTCAATTTTGGCTTTTGTTGCCATTGCTTTTGGTGTTTTAGACATGAAGTCCTTGCCCATGCCTATGTCCTGAATGGTAATGCCTAGGTTTTCTTCTAGGGTTTTTATGGTTTTAGGTCTAACGTTTAAGTCTTTAATCCATCTTGAATTAATTTTTGTGTAAGGTGTAAGGAAGGGATCCAGTTTCAGCTTTCTACATATGGCTAGCCAGTTTTCCCAGCACCATTTATTAAATAGGGAATCCTTTCCCCATTGCTTGTGTTTCTCAGGTTTGTCAAAGATCAGATAGTTGTAGATATGCGGCGTTATTTCTGAGGGCTCTGTTCTGTTCCATTGATCTATATCTCTGTTTTGGTACCAGTACCATGCTGTTTTGGTTACTGTAGCCTTGTAGTATAGTTTGAAGTCAGGTAGCGTGATGCCTCCAGCTTTGTTCTTTTGGCTTAGGATTGATTTGGCAATGTGGGCTCTTTTTTGGTTCCATATGAACTTTAAAGTAGTTTTCTCCAATTCTGTGAAGAAAGTCATTTGTAGCTTGATGGGGATGGCCTTGAATCTACAAATTACCTTGGGCAGTGTGGCCATTTTCATGATATTGATTCTTCCTACCCATGAGCATGGAATGTTCTTCCATTTGTTTGTATCCTCTTTTATTTCCTTGAGCAGTGGTTTGTAGTTCTCCTTGAAGAGGTCCTTCACATCCCTTGTAAGGTGGATTCCTACATATTTTATTCTCTTTGAAGCAATTGTGAACGGGAGTTCACTCATGATTTGGTTCTCTGTTTGTCTGTTGTTGGTGTATAAGAATGCTTGTGATTTTTGTACATTGATTTTGTATCCTGAGACTTTGCTGAAGTTGCTTATCAGCTTAAGGAGATTTTGGGCTGAGACAATGGGGTTTTCTAGATATACAATCATGTCGTCTGCAAACAGGGACAATTTGACTTCCTCTTTTCCTAATTGAATACCCTTTATTTCCTTCTCCTGCCTAATTGCCCTGGCCAGAACTTCCAACACTATGTTGAATAGGAATGGTGAGAGAGGGCATCCCTGTCTTGTGCCGTTTTTCAAAGGGAATGCTTCCAGTTTTTGCCCATTCAGTATGATATTGGCTGTGGGTCTGTCATAGATAGCTCTTAGTATTTTGAGATACGTCCCATCAATACCTAATTTATTGAGAGTTTTTAGCATGAAGTGTTGTTGAATTTTGTCAAAGGCCTTTTCTGCATCTATTGAGATAATCATGTGGTTTTTGTCTTTGGCTCTGTTTATATGCTGGATTACATTTATTGATTTGCGTATATTGAACCAGCCTTGCATCCCAGGGATGAAGCCCACTTGATCATGGTGGATAAGCTTTTTGATGTGCTGCTGGATTTGGTTTGCCAGTATTTTATTGAGGATTTTTGCATCAATGTTCATCAAGGTTATTGGTTTAAAATTCTCTTTTCTGGCTGTGTCTCTGCCCGGCTTTGGTATCAGGATGATGCTGGCCTCATACAATGAGTTAGGCTTATCTCCTAAATTCTTTACATTCTTTCTTCTATGCTTTGCCAAGGACTTTCTGGCCTTTTATTTCACCAAATGAGGCCAAGGGTTTGCTTTAGCAAACCAAAAAAAAAAAAAAAAAAAAAAAAAAAAGAACTGTTAAAATGACAGCCAACTGCTTGAGCTTCCATATTGAATGTAGTACGTCTTATGAATGAAGCCATCATAATGAATACAGCTTATTTGTGTTCTGGGGAAAGGAAGAAATTTTAGATTTCAACACCATTTTAATGTGATTGCACATTAAAATAATAAAAGGAGGTTTTTAAATTGTTGTTGTTGTTTTAATATGATGCTAGTCACACTCCCCACTCCCAAAAATTTAAATAAGAATTTCTGGGGTTAGACCAAGCATTGCATTTTTTCAAACCTGCCCAAATAATTTTGATCCACAAGGAGGTTTGAGAACTACCGCCAAAAAATCCTCATTCACTGTTATTAAATCAAATTTAGCCTAAGGCTAAACTCCTTACATATTTTAAGTTCAGCCTAAAGGTTTCTCCATGCGTTGTGAACTATAACATCCATGGAGATGTAAACAGACTGTAGCCTACACTTGTGCCAATCACTGAGTTTTGGCCAATCAAATGTAGCCAACTGTTCAAACTGTGCTCAAATAAGGCAAACATGGAGCTATAACCAATCCAGTTGTTTATGTACCTTACTTCTGTTTTCTGTACATCACTTTCCTTTTTCTGTCTGTAAATCTTCCACCATGTGGCTGCACTGGAGTCTCTGAACCTATTCTGTCTCAGAGGCTGCCCGATTCATGAATCATTCGTAGCTCAATTAAATTTAATTCAGCTGAAGTTTTTCTTTCATCAACTCCCAAGGTTTCTAGTACCACTTATATGCTGATAACATACATTTATAAATCATTCTAAGAACTTTCTCTGAGCTTCCCTCCTCAAAACAATGTCTCTTTGCTTCCTCTCCCTAATTTGTCAAGAATCTGGAGGCTTACACAATATAAAAGAGATTATCAGGTATTTTCACACTTACCATATGCCAGGATCTGTGCCCAAGCTCACAGCAAGTAAACCAATTCTAGTCCCTACCTTCTTTGTGCTTACATTTGATTGCCTATTGAGTGTTTCCTAACCTTTGTACTATTGACATTTTAGGGTGAATCATTCTTTGTTGTGGTGACCCTCCCATGCATTGTAGGGTGTTTAGCAGCATTCTAGGCATCTACCCACAGGAAGCCATTAATATTCCCTACACCCCCATTATGACAAACAAAAATGAATTCAGATATTATCAAATTTCCCCTGGGGTTTAAATTTGTCGTCAGTTGAGAACCATTGGCTTATGGTTGTCTGTACATAAAGGTTTCCCAAGAACCTACATTTTAACTTGTTACATACAAAATATATTCATTTCTCCTCCATTGTTCCTAATCTTAGATGTTTATACCATTACCAATACTTCACCAATCCAGAACTCTGTATTTTCTGGGAAAAATGAATATTCTCACAGAGCTGGTGTGTTCAAATCAGGATTCAAACAAGGTTTCTGTTATGATTTAAATGTCCCCTCCAAAACTTATTTGAAATTTAGTTGCCAACCTAATGGTATTGGAAGGTGAGGCCCTTAAACAGCAAATGGGTCTAGAGGGCTCTGCCTTCGTGAATGGGTTCACACTATAGTCACAAGTGTGGGTTACTTATCATAGGAGTGGACTCCTGATAAAATTTCTTCCTTTTTTTTTTGGAGACGGAGTTTTGCCCTTGTGGCCCAGGCTGGAGTGTATGGTCTCTTCTCATTGCAACCTCCGCCTCCTGAGTTCAAGCGATTCTCCCACCTCAGCCTCCCAAATAGCTGGGATTACAGGCACCTGCCCCCACACCTGGCTAATTTTTGTATTTTTAGTAGAAATGGGGTTTCGCCATGTTGGCCAGGCTGGTCTTGAACTTCTGACCTCAGGTGATCCACCTGCCTTGGCCTCCCAAAGTGCTGGGATTATAGGTGTGAGTCACTGCACCGGCCGTTAAATTTATTTTCCTTATAAATTACTCGGTCTGTGGTTTTCTATTATAGCAGCAGAAAACGGACAAAGTTTCATATTGCTCTTGAGTCTTTTATTTCTTAAGTCTCTTTTAAACTAGAGCAGTCCAGTCCCATTCTGCCTTTTTTCTCCTCATGCCATTGCCCAGCTGAAGGAATTGGGTCAGTTGTCCAATTGTATATTTGACATTCCAGATTTGCCTGATCACTTCCTCCTGATGTCATTTAACTGGTTCCTTTACCCACCCACCCCCTTTTTTTTCTGTAAACTAGGAGTTATATCCAAAAGCATGATTGGATTCAGGTCAAATCTATTTTTGGTGCTGTACTTTACATTGCAGCATATCAGTTGACACATAATGTCCTGCTTTTAGTTATAGAATGTCATGTCCTGATTATACCATTATAAAGTTGACAATTTTGTATCATATGTATATATCTTTCATTACTACCTTTCATTACAATCTTTCATGCTTAAAGAGGTTTAAGCATCTCTTGAGGCTTATTGTTTAAGTCACTTATTTCTTCAGGAATTATTAAATGGTCATTTTCTGGAGATTCAATTTTGGCACAGACAATCTGAGATGACAATTATACATCTAAAGTAATACCTAAAGTAGACCTTAAAAACCATGTACAATAAATAAAAATAAAAAATATTTTCCTCTTGCTCCTTCCTCCTAATTTTCCAAGGTTCCAGAGGCTTACACAATCTAAAAAGGGTAACCAGAAAGATAGTCACTTTACGATAGTCATTAGAGCTATTAACCAAATATACTGGTTCTCCTGAGCACAAAGGGGTATGTACTTTTCTGCTCCCCTGAAGAAAGAAGTGGCTATGGTGCTTGCTTTGACCAATGAAATGTGAGCAGGAATGACATGTTTCACTTCCCTGAAGAAGCCTTTAAAGCCTACTACTTGATTTGTCCTTCCCTGCCCTCTGCTGCTGTGGTGGTGTTTCAACCTGTGTTGGAATGCAGCATGAGCAAGAGATAAATTTTGTTGTATTAAGCCACTGAGATTTAGAATTGTTCGTTAGCACTGGAAAACAGAGCCAATCCTGGCTGACATACACACCAAACAGGGAGAACCTAGAGTCTGATGATTGTCGCAAGTAAGGCTAGTAACCAAGCCTGGCATCTGGAGAGTCTTAATGTACATCCCTATAGTGCAGGGTTTCTCAACCTAGGCACATTTGACATTTTGGGGGGATTATTCTTTGTTGAGGGAGGTCACTTTGTGCGTTGTAGGATGTTTAGCAACATCCTTGGCTTCTATCTACTAGACACCAGTAGTACTCCCCACACACAAGTTGTGATAACCAAACTGTCTCCAAGCATTGCCAAATGTCCCCTGGGGGTCAACATTGCCCCAGTCGAAAACCATTGTTTTAGGGCATTCAGGTCTGCTGTTGTTGAAACACTGTACACAGGCTACTATAGATCTTAGAGGGAGAAATATCACCCTGCCAATCCTGAGTTCTGTCAGTGTGCCTTTGATTGGGTTCCCAGATTCAGAGTTTTTAAGGTGTGGCTCTTCCAGTCCATGGGGCAAAAAACACTCCCTTCCTCACTCCAGCCACCCCAGAATCATGGCATTAGAACTGGTTCTTCTGCCTGCTTCTTGTGATCCTGTATCGACTACCCTTAGAGATACATATCATCAGGGATGCTGTATTATTCTCACACTGCTAAAAAAGACATACCCGAGACTGGGTAATTTATAAAGGAAAGAGGTTTAATTGACTTGCAGTTCCACATGGCTGGGGAGGCCTCAGGAAACTTGCAATCATGGTGGAAATCACCTCTTCACAGGGCAGCAGGAGAGAGAATGAGTTCTGAGTGTAGGGGGAAGCCCCTAATCAAACCATCAGATCTTGTGAGAACTCACTATGACTAGAACAGCATGAGGGTAACCACCTCCATAATTCAGTTACCTCCCACTGGGTCCCTCCCACAACAAACACATGGGGATTACAGGAACTACAGTTCAAGATGATTTGGATAGAGACACAGCCAAACCATATCAGATGGTATAGCTATCATTTTTGACTCTGAAAAAAAATATCTAATTCATGTATATCCTTTTCAGGAAAGTAGATGTACCAAGCCATTTTTGACTTAGCTAACCTTATGGGACTCCAGATAAGCCAAACACTTCCCTTTGAAAAGTAGAACTAATCACAATGCCTCAGAGTAACTTGTCCTCTGTGGGCATCTCTCTCAATGGGAAAGAAAGAAGAAACCTTACAAGTTTAATTTCTGGTGGGATATCCTAATAATTATAACTATAATAATACTAACATTATTTTTAATAATTGCTAACATCTATTGAGAGCTATGTACTAAGCCATGTTACATATATCTTATTAATCCTCCCAACAGTCCTAAAGGTATATATTTTGTTATTCCATATTTAAGAGATAAGAAAATAGGGGGAAAGAGGAGTTAAGTAATTTTCCCCCAATAATACACTAGTAACTTTCAGAGTCTGGACTCAAGTCCATTCATTCAGTTTGACTTCCGAGATCCCCTCTCTGAACTCCTTACATTAAAAATATAATCAAGTGAGAGTTCCACTTCTGGAAAAAAGGCAGGAGAACCTGTTGGAGACCATTCCCCAGTGATACTACCACAACTGGTGAAAATTATTTAAAAAAACAAAACAAAACATTTAATGTCTTTGGAAATTGTCTTAAGGGCATACAGTTTCTTCTTAAAGTAGGAAACAGTTATTCAAGAAACTCTACTAAATCTCAGCAATGATGGCATCTGTGTCACTTGAGCCATAACACATTGTTTCTCTTCTGCCTTCTAGCTCAGCATGACAGAAGCTCTACTTTGGATGGTTTTCACCAAAATGGTGCTCCCTCTCCCCTCAGTTCACAGTTATGGGTACAAAATCTCACTGGGAGAGGCAGGCCACAGGCATTTCTTTTTTTTCTTTTTTTTTTTTTGAGACGGAGTCTCACTCTGTTGCCCAGGCTGGAGTGCAGTGGTGTGATCTTGGCTCACTGCAAGCTCCGCCTCCCAGGTTCACACCATTCTCCTGCCTCAGCCTCCCAAGTAGCTGGGACTACAGGCACCCGCCACCACGCCCGGCTGATTTTTTTTTTTTTTTTGTATTTTTTAGTAGAGACAGGGTTTCACCGTGTTAGCCAGGATGAACTCCATCTCCTGACCTCGTGATCCACCCGCCTCCGCCTCCTAAACGGCTGAGATTACAGGTGTGAGCCACGGCGCCCAGCCGCCACCGGCATTTCTTATCCCCTCTAGCTCCAAGCTGCAGAGCCTAGATTCTGGTGAGTGCACCTAAGAAGTCAGACTCCTTTCCTCCATCTAGCCCCTACTAATAGGTCCTATCCTAGGTGCAGCATGGCACGGAACATTAGGGTCTCTGATCGTGCGCTTCAGCTTGCTTATACCGTGTAGGTCTCATAATGGGAGCCATAAGCTAAAAATAAGGTATACAAATGCCTAATAAGCATATGAAAAGATGCTCAATATCATTAGCCAGTGGGAAAATGCAAATAAACCACACTGAAGGCATCACTTCACACCAACGAAGATGACTATAATCAAACAGGGATATAACAACAACTCTTGAGGAGTATGTGAAGAAATTGGAACTGATATACTGCTGGTGAGAATGTAAAACAGTGCAGCATTTTGGAAAACAGGATGACAGTTCTTTAAAAGGTTAAATATCTCCAGAATTACTTTATGACCCAGCAGTTACATTCTAGGTATATACTCTAGAGAAATAAAAACATAACCACATAAATCTTGTACATGAATGTTCTTAGCAGCATTATTCTTAATAGCCCAAAAGTGGAGACCACCAAAATGTCCATCTACTGATAAGTGGTTAGTAAATAAAATATGACATATCCATACAATGGAACAATATTCAATCATAATTGAAGGACTGATAGGAGCTACAACATGGATGAACCCTGAAAACATTATGCTAAGTGAAAGCAACCAGTTGCAAAAGACCACTTACTGTATAATTCAATTTATATGAAATGTAGAGAATAGGCAAATCTATAGAGACACAAAGTAGATTACTGTTTGCCTGGGGGTGCAGGTAGGGGAAATAGGGAGTGACAGTTAATAAGTATGGGGTTTCTTTGGGGGGATAAAAAATGTTCTAAAATTGATGGTAATGATGGTTGCACCACTCTGTGAATTAGTTAAAATGCTTGAATTATACAATTTAAAGGGATGGTTATATGATATATGAATTATGTATCAATAAAACTGTTATAAAAATATAATCAAGTGCTATAGTGTCTTCCTAATATTAGGAAGACACTATATAGTATAGTGAGAGTAGGAGCACAGTAGAGTGTAGTTAGAGAGCAGAGAGTAGGAGCTACATCTTATGTTATCTTTTTTCTTGTATCATAGAGGTCTAGTACAGAGGCAAAGAGCATGGATTTCAGAATTAGATAAACCTAAGTTTGAGTCCTAGTGTTGTGACATACTAGTTGTGTGACCTTGGGAAAATCATTTAAGTTCCCTAAGCCTCAGTTTTCTCATTTATATAATGGAGATGATAGAACTGTCAACAGAGATTCAATGAGATAATGCATGAAAAACACTCACTATAGTGCTTAGCACATAGTAAGTTCTCAAGAAATGTTATGCTGCATTTACAGCAGTTGCTCAATAAACACGTTAAAAAATAAATGGAAGAAGGCAATATAAAGTGTGTGGACAAAGAATTGGGAGTAAGATCTTGAAAAACATTCAAATACAGTTATGACATTGAATTTCATACTGCCAGGATGAGTAGGAACTTACTATGCATTCTTGGGTTGGGGAATATGATAAGAAATTTTGAGCTAGAATTTTATAACAATTAGGAATAAAAGTCTTTTAGAGAAACGGTGCTATAGGCAAATAATAAAACTAGGAGAAAATAGAAATTATGTCTGCCTGGAATCAAGAAGCCACTTCTCTCCAAGCCTTAGTTTACAAAACTGTAAAATGTATAGTAATCCTTGCTCAGGCTACCTCGCAGAATAATTGGCAAGCCCAAATTACATAATGTATATGAAGGAGTTTTGAAAAATATACAAATGAAAGTAATCACCCTTATTAAATCATTAGTCTTAAACAACAGCATCAGCTACCCTGCAAATATATTTATTCAAATATTATTTTATGATCATCACTGGTTGGATTGTCTATGAAGCAGTCTGTGAGAGAGAATGTTTAGGCCAGGTGTGGTGGTTCACACCTGTAATCCCAGCACTTTGGGATACTGAGGCGGAAGGATTTCCTTGAGCCCAGAGGTTTGGGTTAAGCCTGGGCAACATAGTGGGACCCTGCCTCTACAACAAATAAAACATTAACCAGGTGTTGTGATGCATGCCTGTAGTCCCAGCAACTCAGAAGGCTGAGGTGGGAAGATTGCTTAAGCCCAGGAGGTTGAGGCTGCAGTAAGCCATGATGGTGCCAGTGCATTCCAGCCTGGGTAACAAAGTGAGACCCTGTCTCAAAAGGAAAAAAAAAAAAAAGAAAGAAAGAGAGTTTCTGAGAAGGAAGTTTCTTGGGACCCCTGGTGGAGTCAACACCTGTGGGAAAAGGGAAGGAAGCCGGGATGACTGGAGGGAGAAGCTGGACTGGGATTTAGGCACAAAAAGGCATCATCTGATTGTAAAAGGAGATCTGAAGCTGAGATAGCCCTTCAGAGTTATTCTCTATTGGAAGGAGGGGGCACAGCCTTCTTACTCCTGCACTGGCAGGCATTAAATCAGTGCCAACCTGGGAACTTGAGCATTGACTTTAAGCATTCAGCTCACTTTTCAGCAAAGGTCAATTCACAGAAAAAGCTGGCAGTTGAGCACTGTGGCTGGACAACCTTCTCAGCAGGTGAGGCAATGTCAATCAGTCCTGAGGAGAATGTGGGCAGCACAGCACCTCATCCTTAAAAATGATAAAGTAGAAGTTTGCCAGTCATGAGGTAAATTCTACCAAAAAATTTCCCATTTGGATAAGTCAGGCCAATTGGTGCTGTTTTTGTCTCAATTACCTAATTCAGAAAAAACCCACCTTCTTCCTATGTAAATCAATGACTAAGATCATTTTAACTGTGTCCATTTTTGGTAATGTTTTAAATAGAAAAGACTGGCCCGGCGTGGTGGCTCATGCCTATAATCCCAGCACTCTGGGAGGCTGAGTTGGGAGGATTGCTTGAGCCGAGGAGTTGGAGACCAGCCTGGGCACCATAGGGAGACCCTGTCTCTACAAATAATAAAAAAAATTAGTTGGGCGTGGTGGCCCACGCCTGTGATCCCAGCTACTCAGGAGGCTGAGGAAGGAGGATTGCCTGAGCCTGGGAGATTGAGGCTGCAGTGAGCCTGACTGTGCCACCGCACTCCAGCCTAGCCAAAAGAGCAAGACCCCGTCTCAGAAAAAAAAAAAAAAGACATGATTATTGAAAAGATAAGTAGTCAAAATATTTAAATGTAGTCATTAGATCATTTTAGTTGCTAAAAAAAGAATTTCTTTTCATGAAATAAGTTCATTAGGAAGATTTGGTACAGAGAAATTATTGATTGCATCAGATATACATTTCTATTTTACCGGCATTAAGTTACTTTGATGTTGAAGTTTTGTATACATCTGGAAAACAGTCTACTTTAAGATAATTAGAATAGCAAAATAATGTGGGTTTTAAAATACTTTGGTAATAAACAAATCTGAGGCACATAGAAAATTGATTATATCATAAGATAAATTAATTTACTTTTAACACAAAAGCCTTTTTCCTTTTTCTTAAACAATAAAAGTATGCTAACATATTGGTCCATTGGAATCATCCACTTGGACTGCTGTTGCAAAGATTTTAAAAGTCAGTTTAAAATGCATTTTTTCCCCAAAAGCTTAAAAGCTTTAATTCTTGATAAGTTTTTTCTCATTTTAATGACTTTTTTCTACCTTCTGGGGTTTTTATTTTTTATTTCATTTTATTTTTATTTCTTTGAGACAGGGTCTTGTTCTGTTACCCAGGCTGGAGTGCAGTGGCATAATCTTAGCTCACTGCAATCTCTGCCTCCTAGGCTCAAGCAATCCTCTCACCTTAGCCCCCAGAGTAGCTGGGACCACAAGCATGCACCATCACACCCAGCTAATTTTTTGTATTTTTTATAGAGACAAATGTTGCCACGTTGCCAGGCTGACCTCGAAATCCTGGGCTCAAGTAATCCAACGGCCTCGGCCTCCCAACATGCTGAGATTACAGGCATGAGCCGCCATGCCCAGCCCTTTCTGAGATTTTTAGATGTTCAGAATTATTGACCTTAGAAATAAGGAATAAAAAAGGCAAGAGCAAACTTAGGTGTAATAAAATATTCCAGAAATTCAGCATGAATTTGTTACCAGTCTGTAGTAATTAGTGTTCCTAAAGGTATTCGGTTTCATTACTCCACAGTAACAAGAGGCTAATGAAGTGTTTTCAAATGGAAGTTCAACAGAAAAAAACTTTGATAAATAGACAATATTATTTATAATTGTTTATCTCAGGGTAGTTGTTTTAGACTCATTGAATGTGTCTGAGTGTGCATCCTTAATCTGCACTATATCATTCAGGTTTTATCATAGAAACTAATGGAAGAATAATTACGGTGCATCAGAGCAGTGGTCTTTAAATGTTTTCAGTTACATGAATATTCTCTAAATTAATATTTTTGATTGCATATATTTCTGTTGACATCTAAAATTTTTCATTGTAAGTTTAGTTCCAAAGGATATGCTTTAGGCATATTGTAAATGTTTGGCTTTTTACATAAAATTGTTTACAATAAAGCTTTTTACAATAAGCTTTACTTTTTTTTTTTTTTTAATTTACAAAAGGTAGGCTCCGTTTATTAGAGTCACACACAACTGACTATCTCAGTGTGACTCAAGACCACAAAAAACCCATTTCTCCTTCACTTCTGAGTCCTGGGGTTAATACCTAGACCAGCAAGTGTACTGCTTGGGGTCCATTCACAGGTTTACAAGTTTTTCATTGAGGGCAATCTGTGACTGTGTGAGGTTGGCCAGGTAGGTCACCATCAAAAGGTCATTGATGTTGCTGTTGAGCATGGTCTCAAAGTCATCGGGAACTATTTTCGGTACTCGGTTAACCAGGCTCATCAGGAAGCGGCCCACAGTATTGTCAGCTGACACCTTTCCAGACAGTACATCCTCTGCATATTGCAACACTGTACTCAGGGCATCCTGGATGCGAGCTGATGCCCCTCCTACTTGCTGCAAGTCACTTAAGAGTCCAATCACTCTGTTGGGGCTAAAGCAGGTCTTCATGATCAGCTCAACTCCGATGCGTTCAGTGTCATAGTATGCGTATTTCACTGTCAGAGGTGTGAACATCACTCCCATGGTCCTCCCAGGGACACCCATTAAAGTGCTGACATAGGCTTTGATGCTCATGCGGCCGTTCTGGAGACTTGTGTCCACAGTGAGGTGGATGGGGTTGGGGGCCTCTCGGCTGTAGTACTCATGGATCAGCACAGAGTGCTCTGTGATGTCATGGCCTGTAGCGTACCAGCCCAGGATGAGCTCATTTGGAGAAACTTTTTTATGCAGTTCATACATATTCTTAGCAAATTCCATGTCAACAGCCACTTCATCTTCTGACTCATTGTGCGGCACTGAAAAGCAATTGGTGACCTCCACTGAGTGTTTGTCGACAGTTCCCAACAGGGTCCCGATAACTCGGGCAGCACCCTCGTTGCGTCTCTCGTAGCTGTCCACAATGGAGGCCAAAATGACTGGGTGCAGCCTGACCACGCGGCCGCCGGGGAAGGGCCCTGGAAGAGCAGGACCAGGCAGAGCGGGCGCTGGGGTCTGCGCTGGAGCTTGCGCTGAGGCCGGGGTCTGGCCAGGAGCCGCAGTTGTAGCCGATGCTGCCGCAGGGTCTGAGGATGAGGCTGGAGCCGCAGCGGGAACCGGAGCCGCAGCCGGTGCTGGCGTTGGCGCTGGAACTGAGGCTGGGGCAGAGGCTGGGACCGCCGCCGGGACTGGGGCTGGCGTGGCCGGAGGAGCACTTGCTGGTACCGCCGGTGTGGCCATCTTGTCGAGAATAAGCTTTACTTTCAAACGTTCAAATGGAATCTAAATATGATACTCACCATTTTACTTAGAATAATGCATGCTGTATACGAGTGTAACAAATGAACCTCACAATTGCAGTGCCTTAATACCAAAAAGTTTATTCCTAGTTCGTATCAAGCCGATTGGAAGACATTTGAGACACAACTTTTACTTTGTAGGTTTATCATTCCGAGGGCCCCAGAATCCGTTATTCAAACTAGCGGATAGGAGAAGAGAATGTTGAATCAAGCATAGTAGGTTTTTAATGGACCACCCACATTCCATTGGCTGCCACTCAATCACTTGTACATCAATCTGAAAGAAAGGTGGGAAAATGTAGCTTAGCTATGGGCCCAAGAGGAAAAGGAAATGAGCTTGATTAGCACTTAACAGACTCTACTGTAGTTTACCCTTCTGATAGCTGAATAGCCTTCTTCTTCCCTCACATAAAGTTTACTCATCCCCTTCCCAAAGTGGACAACCCAACTGTATTTATCTCAAATTCCAGGACTGCTGGTGGTGCATGTCCTTCTATGAGAATCTGGATTTAGATTCCTCTGGTCACTGCAACTACCCTCCCGCCACCCAGACACACACCTGATACAAACAGACACACATACAACATCGGAGATGCAAAATACAGTGGTACAGCAGGAGTAGGATAAATACAATAAGCTTACCTATTTTGAAAAAGGAATAGCAGAAAATACAGAACAGTTGCCGGTTCATAGCAGTAATGAAATCCTACAGGGTAAGAACTGGAAAAAGCCTCTGCTCTGGCAGGAGAAAATATTTCTTGAATCAATTTTAATTCTGATCATTGGAAAGAAGTCCATTGTTCTCTGTGGTCCCTGGCTCTACACCACCCTTTCTTGCAAGATTTATCTTTGTCCATTACTATCCATAGTCACATCTAATATGGGTGTTGTTACTCCATTTTTAAATGGCCTAAAGACTTAGGGTTTTAGCTCAATACATCCTCCACAGTATATAAAGTTGTATTTCAATTAAATTAGGTTCACTGAAAATTGACTAAAGGAAAAGCCAAGACTATTCTTGGGAAGGAATTGCCTATGGGGATTTATCTTCATTGAGTGAACTCATTTGCTTATCCAATGGGGCCATTAAAATTTCACATTCTTCTGAATCTACATCTGTTTTTCAGTCTCAGGACAGTAGATGAAGAGTGTGTAATTTAGGTTGTGCTGTCTATGAAATGATGGAACACTAAGGTAAGGTAAAAATACTTAGTTTTAGAAAATTGAACAAATTTTAAATGTAGAAAATAACTTTATGTTAATGTTACCAGATTTTATTTATATTTGTTTACTAGGATAAATATCAATATTCTAAAAGTCCTAAAACTTGTACGATTTTATCTTTTATCTTTGTCAGTCCGGTTTTCATTTAGAAGCCCAGCTATAAAACTTGGACTAGTCAGCCTTGACATGTGATATCTTTTCCTTTGTGCCTTTTTCCTTCCATAATATCTTTTTCTTTGTGCCTTATTTTTTAGGCCATAAAGGAAATGAGATTAAATTGAATCCTCCTCAAGTGGACTATTTGAAGAATAACCATTTTTCTTTTTAAAAAAACAACTTTATCGACTTAGGAAGAGTTTAAAGAATAGTTTTGAATTCCTGTTAATTTTCAATAGTTACTTAAAATGTTTTTGTCATTTTAAAATGATAATATATAATCATTTTTGAATGATATAAACCTACAGAAAGGAGATTATCTACATCTGAATTTGTAAGGTTTTTATGTTCATAATTTGAATATAAGCGTCTAATAAATTTCGGGAATTCTCATTTCATCAAACAAAATAGTAAAACTTTATGTAAAGATATTTTGCCTCAATTGCTTGTTGTTGCTCACTCTATACTGAACATGAACTTCATCTCCCAGTGCAATAATTGGTTCATAACTTTACAACATCATTTCCCGAAAGTACTTATTTTCCAACTGAAAATGTGTAAGGTTAAACTTTCTTCTCTGTTGTTGACGAAATAGTGAAAATACCCAATGTTGGCACTTCACTTTAGATTTCACAAACATTTTTATTAAACAGAGTAACAAACAATATGAATAACAGTTTCAAAGTAAGTTCTTTTTTAGATTTATCATCCAGATAATTCATATTTAACTGTAATTATTTTGTAAAACCATTCATTTTTCACAAATGCATTTTTATAGTTGCAAACAACCTCAGAAATCATTAAGTAACTTATCCGAAGTCAAGCATTCAGCCAGGTGTAGTGTTTCACGCCTGTAATCCCAGCATTTGGGGAGGCCGAGGCGGGTGGATCATTTGAGCCCAGGAGTTCAAGACCAGCCTGGGCAACATGGCAAAACCCCATCTCCACAAAAAAATACAAGAATTAGTTGGGCGTGTTGGTGGGTGCCTGTAGTCCCAGCTACTCAGGAGGCTGAGGTGGGAGCATTCTTTGATTCCAGGGAGGTTGAGGCCACAGTGAGTCATGATCTTGCCACTGCACTCCAGCCTAGGCACCAAAGTGAAATCCTGTCTCAAACAAAGAAAGAAATAAACAAAATCCCCCAAAACTGAAGTCTAGCATTCATGAAAAGAAGGCCAACCCACAAAAGGAAAATGAGCACCCCCCCAAAAAATATGGAGAATTCAAGAAAAGGAACTATTAATGGATCTTATATATAAGATGCTTGGCTTTATCATAATAAAAGAAATAAAAATTTAAATTATAACACAATGCCACTTTCACTAACATATTGGCAAAGATCAAAGCATTTGATGACACATATGAATTGATAAGGCTATAGAAAAGCAAGTACTCATAAATAACTGTGGGAGAGTGAACTGGTACAACTTCTCAAGAGGGCAATTTTGCAGTATCAATAAAAATTACTCTTGAATGTATACATTGGTCAAAACTTATACACACTAAAAAGAGTAAAATTTATGTAAATCATATCTTAATTTTTTAAAATGAGAAAAGTTAGTATTAGTCTTCTCAAAATAAACTTTATGTTACCTTTAGAGAGAATGAGGTTGATCTATAGTTACTGGTGTGCAATAAACTCTAAGATATATTAAGTGAAAACAATAAAATCAACTATTTGAACCCAAGTTTCTTTATTCTCTTTTCATGTTACTGTGCTTCCTTTAATTTAATAGATGACTTTTTAATTCTGACAGCATTTAGATTTCTGAAAATCTTTGCTAATGTCTTATTTTTAAAAATTCATTGTAAAGTAACTTGCTTTAAATAGAAAAATGAAAGATTCTTTACTTTTAAAATATCAGCTAATTATATATCCTTCTCTTCATCTTGGCATTGTTTTGGTCTTTTTCACACATTTGTATCTTATATATACTTCTTATGTTCCAATATTGTATGCCTACATGTAATTTTAATGGCTTTTAGACATTCTACTATGTTACTATAACTTACCCATTTCCAACTTACTGGATATTTGGTTGTCTCCTATTTCTAGGAACATTTCCGGATTTTTTTTTTGGTATATACTTCTATATGTGGTACTTGCTCAAAAGAAAATCATTTTTATGTTTCCTGCTGTATTTAAGTAGATTGTTTTTAAAAAAAACCTTTTGCCAATTACACATAACCATCAGCAAATGCATAATTATATCTGCTAATAATGACTTTTATATACTTAAGATTTTGTAGAATATAAGAAAGTGTTGCTAAGATACTTGAAATGTTTTTGTTATTTTGAAATTACTGTATACTTATAAAAATCCATTTTAAATTTTGGAACAAAAGTTAATTAACTTTTTAAAATTTATTTAACAACATTTCATAAAGTCAGGTATTTTCAGATTACAGGTATTATATGTTATTTTATTTGTTGTATTTAGAAACAAACAACATTAAATAGAAACCAAATTGTTATTTCAGCAAATCCTATCCCAATCAACAAAGGATTGTTTAAAAGAGATGGCATAGGCCATAACCAAATCTTATTTATTTTTCATAGATGAAGGACATTTTAGGATAAAAAAACTATAATTTCATTATCTCCTTATTTATTTGAGCATATTTCATTACTGTATAGATCACACATTCTCTAAAATGTAAAACTGGTTCCTTATTGCTTCTTATAATGTTACCCATCCATCTTTAGTATTTTCATAGATGATGTTCACTTCAGGTAAGCAACAAAATATAAATTAATTTTAGTAGTCACATGAAAGAAAAAATAGTTTTGAAAAAATAGAAAATACCTGGTAAACATACTGTAATATCTTTGGAATTACAGTGATCATATTGGACCTTCAGTCTGAAAATTCGTCATATAGAGTATACATTTTATTAGTAATGCAATGCCAAAAAAGTTTTAATTTTTGTGTGTGTTAGAAGGATTTCATAGTGTTGCAGAAATGGGGAGTAGTGCATCTTGTAAACATTCTCTTCTTTATTCTTACTAATAGAACTCTAGGTAATATATTAGCTTAAAAAAACTGTATTTCCCAGCCCCTTTGCATATGAGAATGGCTAGTGTTCGAAAGGACCTCTGAGAAAGCTATTATTGTCCTTCCCTCTAGTTATGGTTAGAGTTCTGGCAGCCATCTGGGACTGCAATGGACGGGTCAAGAAAATTTCAGCTCCCTAATGTCTGATCCAAATTGAGATAGATTTTTTAGCTTAAAAAAAAGTTTATCTGTTTATAACTAAAATAATTTTTACATTAAGAAGTTCTTTTAAATAATGGCTTGACACTAACAGACTACATTTTTTTAGCTGATGTCCTCTAAGCCTTAAATATGTGCCAGGCTAACTCTGAGTTTGGCACTGTAAAACTTCTGTCTGAACAATTATTCATTTGATTAATGCAATAACTTTCAATTATAGCTGCACAATAAAATCAGATATGAGAATTTGGGTTTACTAAGTCTAGGTTAATGGTGTTAGCTTGTATCAGATTTGCCCAATTAAAACATAAATTTTTGTTTTGTTTTGTTTTTTATTTTTATTTTGAGACAGAGTCTCACTCTGTCACCCAGGCGGGAGTGCAGTGGTGTGATCTCAGCTCCCTGCAACTTCCGCCTCCCGGGTTCAAGCAATTCTTGTGCCTCAGCCTTCTGAGTAGCTGGAATTACAGGAGTGCACCACCATGCCTGGCCAATTTTTGTATTTTTAGTAGAGATGGGGTTTCACCATGTTGGCCAGGCTGGTCTCGAACTCCTGACCTCAAGTGATCTGCCTGCCTTGGCCTCCCAAAGTGCTGGGATTATAGGGATGAGCTACTGCGCCTGGCCCATGAATTTGGTACACACATACTTGTTAAAACAGATTGTTGAATCCTTCTTCCCGAAATGAGAGATCCAGTAGATCAGAGTTGGTGTGTTCTTTTAAGGTGATGCCGATGCTGCTGGTCCAGAGATCATACTTTTGAGAACCTTTCAGCATCACCTAGGCACCTATGTATTAAAATATTTTAAAATGATTTTGATGGTTTAGGGACAGTATTAGAAACTTTTATTGAGAATGAGTAAGATTAAATCTGTTTCCTCTCATTCCCTTTGATCTATTAGCTCGAGTTTCCAGAGTAAAAGTGAGGGATTTGTGCATCTTCTTTCCTCTTTGGATGTTGGAAATCCTTTTCTCAGGGATGGAATTGCTTTCCTTTTGGTATCTTAGGGCAAGTGGGATTGACTAGCCTCAAGCAGAATTTCAAAATAAACATAGAGTCATTTTTCCCTTTGATTTCTCTTGCTGCATGCTTCCTCCTCCTCTTAACAACTACTCTTCTCTAATCCTATGTACTTATTATTCTCTTTTTTCTCCTAACCTCTACAACTGTGGCCTTCTCAAGCTTGCACCCCCTGTAAATAGGTCTCTTCTATTCTGCCACTGTCAACTGCAACATTTATTTCCTGAGTTGTAATTTTTGTTAGATGCTAGTAATCTGAGGACATTTCTCCCAGTGGCTTATTAAAAAGTACAAAAGAGCTGTTAATCTCTCTAATCAGTGGCTTTCACTGGGTGTGGGGATGGTGTTTCTTGGGAAGAGGGTCTTCGTGCTTTGCTAAGAAGAGGGTTGTTTAATAATCTGGATTCTTCTATACTTTTAAACGGCCCGTTTACATTCTTATCCTTTCTTTAGATGATGACCCCATAAATATTCTTCTGATTCCAGCCCAATCTTTGTAACCCATCAACTCTTTTAGCAGACTTAACCCTTAAATGGTCTTTTGTTTACCTGTAGTTGGGTTGTGGGTACCATTGCTCCTCAAGTCTACAGCCCAGAGTGAAGCAGAAATTGTTATTCTGTACCTGCAATGGATCTAGACTCATTATTGGTAAAACCTACCTACCAAGGGAGTGTGCTCCAAAAGAGTTGGGGTAGGGTTATAGGAGCCAGGTTGTCTTCTCCATATATCACCCTACCAGACTTTGGTCACATAATTAAGTCTTTGTAGTTTATTTCTTATGGATATGGTCTTTTCAAGGCTGAAAAATTATTCACTACATCGCAATTTATAAACTGCTGTTTAGTGCATGGATAGAAAAACAGGCAAGAGCAAACTGATCTTTCAAATTAATAAATGCTTTTGCGTGATCAAATCCAAAGGCCTCTCTATAATTCTCAGTTTTTTCAACCTTTAGGTAGCATTTTACACTCCTGATCATGCCTTAATCTTGACTATCTGCTGTCTTTTCCATTCTATGACACAGTGCCACAGAGAATAGGATATTATTGGCTTGCTTTTCCAGTTTTTTTGAAAACTCTTTTAAATGGCTATTCTTCCTTCACTTTCCCCTAATTTTCATTTTCCCTTTATTTTCACATTTCGCAAGTCTCTTCCTTCATCTTTCTTCTCAGCAGACTCAAACAATCTCTCCTTTATTAATCTTATTAATGTTAATGGCAGGCATCCTATCTTCTTCCATTACTGGTGGGAACTGGGAGAAGAAACTCTTGGGACATGGCTAAACATTTGGGCTATAAAATAAGGATAACAGATGCTAATTGGAATGGTATAAGCATTTTAAATTTTAATTTTTAATTTTAAGACTAATAATTCTCCTTTAAAAAATTAAAATATAAAAGATAAAAGTCTCCATGGGCCATTATCTCCATTCTTTGTTCCCATCTCCCTCCCCTAAAGTAACCATTGCTAGTAATACAGAGCAACTTTACTTATATATTTGAATATAAATGTTATAATAGTAAGCATACCATTCTGGAATTTGTGCTTTTTATTTGTCAAAATGTTTGGATATTTTTCTGTGTTAGAATATAAAGTTCTTCCTCAGGCAATAGCATTTAAATAGTAGTAATTTTTGTGGCAAAGTATATAAATGAAATCCTGCCTAGGATACCTGGTGGAACTTGAACTTTAATGAGGATCTTTGTGCAGTTTGTCAGAGTGATTCCAAAATTGAAATCATGCTGATGGTGGTAGAAGTAGTTCCTTGGCTTTCTGATCTTTAAACATATTGAGCATTTTTGTTTTTTTTTTTTTTGGATTTTGGGGTGGCTGACTTCAACTGGGCTATATATAAATGGTTCCAGCACAACCACGTATGAATTGATGATGGTAGTGAGTATCCAACTTTCAGTCTTGAACACCTAAGGATAATAGTCGAGTAATTGAATTAAAAAGTTTTTATATGGTATCTTACCTTGTTCCTTGGTCATTGGATTTCTTCAATTATAGATTTTATTGATAAGGAATGCTCATTTACAAGTTCAACTATCATAACAGTGACTTGGATGTCTTTTCTTTAAAATCTAAGATGATAAATTAGCAATAAACGTGCTGGAAATCTTTAAGTCTAGTTACCTAATTATGGGGATTCCGAATCAAGGAGCCAACTGCTTTTGGCAAGTGGTCACACTGTCCAGTGTATCAATAGTAAAGGTGAATGTGATGTAAGGTCACAGCCAAAAGACTGTGTTCCAGGAAGTGACTCCTCACCAGACACCAAATCTTGTCCTTGCGTCTTGATTTTGGACTTCTCAGCCTCCATAACTAAGAAATAATTAATTTCTGCGGATTACCTATCCAGTTTATGGTATTCTGCTATAACAACCCAAATTAAGATATTTAGTAAATAATTTATTAGCACCTACGATGCAGCAGGAAATATGCTAAATGATTAGGGAGAGCAATAATTTTCAGAAGATTAAAAAAGCTTTCCAAAAAGACATAGCACTTGAGAAGAACTTTAAAGAAAGGGTAGAAGTTCCATGGGGGAAAGTGTGGTGGTGGGGAAGTTTAACATACTGGATACAATAAAGATCTTAATTCACAGATAAATTATAAAGTGCTTGAAGTAAGGGACTATATGTTCTCTTAATCTTTGTGTTGATCCCACTTTTGCACAGCCTCTACTTTATTCTTATAGGAAAACATGTAGCATGGCCGTCCTTAATTACCGAGTTGCAAAATAAAGCAGGTGTTATGTCCTGCCCCTGCAGAGATCCTCAAACCTTAGCATGCATCAGAATCACCTGGAGAGCTTGTTAAAACGCAGACTGCTGAGCCCTATTGCCAGTGTTTGGGATTCCCGAGGTTTGAAATAGGGGCCTGTAGGGAATGAGAAACATCTTTCTTTCCTGTTGCTAGATTCCTGTTTGAGTCCCTTATAAGAAAAGACAGATTAATAAGAGAAAAGCGTGCAAATTTATTTAAGTTTTATGTGGCATGGGAGCCTTCAGAGATGAAGCCCAAAGAAACAGGAAAACCTGTGCATTTTTAGAAGGAACAGTGGACAGTTGTGGGGAAGTACGGTTGGACAAAGCATGGTCTAATGGTAATAAACTGGGGTAAGTTGTCAAAGGTCTTTTTGTTCAGATTCTTTTCTATGTCTCCGTTTCTTTAGAGATAAGGATATTTCTTTCCTGTGGGTATAGGAAGAGCACCTCTGGATTGAGGATCCAATGACCCGCCTCAGGGAAGAAGGATGGGAGAAGGTCAGAGAGTGATCTTAGGTTTTGTTGTTTTCTCAAATGTCAAGGGGCCATATTTTGGGGTAGCATATCCTGAACCCCATCAGCGGTGAAAACTTGTATTTCTACATAGTTCCCAGGTGATGCTGTTGCTAGGTTCTAGGATCACGTTTTGAGAACCACTGCTTTAATGTAATTTATATCTAACCACTGCTCCAGCATTCTTTTCTGTAAGCATCCAGAATGCTGTGACAAATTCTTGTCAAACTTTAAGAATCTTCAGGATGTCAAATTCTGTCTTGAGGTCAATAAAGATGGGTAGGGGACGAAATAATCTTTGCTCAACCTTTGGCACATTACAATGATGTTTTTCAAATAGTAGGGCTCAAACGTGATGCATTGGAAAATTGGAAAATTGGAAAATCAAATAATCATATGGTAAATATTTTAGTAGGTTTCTTATTTAATCAACTCTTAATAAGATGGGATGGATAACATTCCTGAGTTAGAAAAACATATTGCAAGCGCTGTCAGAGGAAAATTAAGTTCAAGTCCATCAGCAATCTTTACTCATGTTTTGCTTTATATATTTGTGAGTGCCGTACACAGAACTGAGTCCAGTGTTGACTTGAGTCTAATCAATACACATATACGTATACATGTGTGTGCCTCAAATATATCTGATTGAACTTAGTAAGCCACAGAACTGTAATATATATGATATAATCAATGTGTTATACATTATATTACAATAATTATACACAAAATAATACATTATTCTGTATGTTAAGGGAGAGAGGACAACAGCAAAGAAGACAGAGTGCTACAACGTCCAGGCTGTAAAAGTCATTTTATTCTGGAGGAAATGCAACACCAAAGTTGTAACAGTCTTTCAATAAAGTAAAACAGAATCATCGAAAGGGCTCCTGGGACAATTGAGGCTAGAATGATCTTGGTCAGTCAGTCCTGTGGACTTGAGGGCAATCTTCCCTCCCACTACCGGTTGGGGAGCCCTGATGTCGCCTCCCGCAGAGCGCCACTTGGCCTGGCCTGCGCTTCACCTTCATTTCCGCCCGCGGAATCCTCCAGGATCTTCCCGCCAAGGCTGGGGTTTCCGCTCCGCGGCGTCCGAGCGCCAGCGGACTGCGCATGTGCAGGACCCAGCAGGTCTAGAGCTTTTCTGTGTTTCTCCGGACTTCGAGCCATGGCGGTGACGGAAGCGAGCCTGTTGCGCCAGTGCCCCCTGCTTCTGCCCCAGAACCGGTCGAAAACCGTGTATGAGGGATTCATCTCGGCTCAGGTACCCGCCCAGTGGTTGCTTTCTAGCTAAGAGAGCCTCTTGCAGCGTAGCTGCGCGGAGAAGTCTGTGACGGGCTAGGAGGTTAGGGGCCCAGACTTGTGGGGATTGAGAGGGGCGGCGCGTAACGGCTCTTGGGAGACTAAAGGTTTGAGAAGCGCCGCTGTCGCCGCCACCCCGGTGGTCGCCGCGCTGGATGGGGAGCGAGGAGGCGCGCGGCGTGGAGCGGGGCTGGGGCCACGCCTCCTCTCTCCCTAGCCCTTCCCCGAGTTTGGCTTCCTTCTTCGTTCAGTGTCCCGCAATTGACTGTTTTTTAATTTTTTTTTTGTAAATTTTGCCTTAACTCGATTTTAACACCCTCCACCTCCACGGATGTTGATGAGTTCACTCGGGAATCTGGGCTAATTATTTTCGTGTTTCCTGTAGAAAGAACATTTGGGAAGAAAACCTTATTTTGGCCCTTTGCCAAGTCGTATGTACCTGTACACCCACAGTTACAATATCTTCTAGGAGAAGCATGACAGCAATGGAATTAATTAACTTTGCTGATTCCAGTGGCCTCTCATATGGAGTTTATTACACATACTAACACATGTGTAGGGTTTTGAAGTTTACAAAGCGCTTTCCAGGTAAATAGTTCACTTAATCCTCAGCCCTTTGAGGCAGAAATTTTTAAAAGAATCATCATTCCCATTTTCTAGTTGAAGAAATCAAGGTATGGGAAACCGGAGACGTTATTTGCTGATGATCACATCAGAATCCCTTAAACGCAGGCTGTGTGATTTCAGTCCTGGATTTTTTTCTCTTTACATTGCACCAGGATACCTTAGGTTAGGAGTGTAGACTTTTCCTTTCTGACCATTACACTCAACCTTGTGCCCACTTCCCCACCATCACGCATAGTCTTTGAGTATATGTGGAATTACCATATGACCATCACAGAAAGTAGAGGTTAAAAATTCATTATTCCATATGGAAAAAAGTTAATCCACCTTTCCCTCTCCAATTAGAAGTATTCTTCTTGAATTACCTAGCTGAAAATATGATTCTCTTGTAGACAACATTTAGAAAAGTTGAAAAATTTTAAGTTACTTTTTTTTTTTTTTTTTTACAGGAAGCATGTTATACCTAATTTTAGGCAAAATACTGTTATGTATGTCTATATCTGCTAAGGCCTTTTAGGAAACAAGTACACCCATTAGAATTGAGATTAGATGAAAGTTTCTTTTATGACCATTGCTATAGCTAGAATTCCAATTTGTACCTGCCTTAGCAGTTTATTTAAATCTTAAACATTTTACGTGTCTAAAAATATTTTGTATATATTTTAAATTTACAGAAAAGTAGCAAGGATATACAGTACAAGTAATTCCAGTATACCCTTTACCTAGATTCACCAGTTTACATTTTCTCCATTTTACTGATCATTGTTAAGTATATGTATGTGGGTGGGTGTGTATACACATTATTTTCCTGAACCATTTGAGGTCAAATCAGGCGTAGTTCCCCTTTATCCCTAAATACTTGAGCATACATTTCATAAGAACGAGGACACACTCATACATAACCACAGTACAGTGATTAAAATCAGGATATTTAATGATATACTATTATCTAAGATAGAGTCCATATTTCAAATTTTGTTTATGATACAGTTGTATGTTTTATACCCCCATCCCCTACCATCTGTTGTTAAGATCCCACATTACATTTAGTTGTCATGTCTAACCTGGAACAATTCTCAGTCTGTTTGTGTTTTTTATAAGCTAGACATTTTTAAAGAGTACAGATTGGCTGTTAGGTAGAATGTATCTCAATTTGGGTTTGGATGATATTTCCTCACTATTAAATTCAGCTAATGCATTTTTGGCAGGGATACTACAGAAAGATTGTTTTGTCCTTCTCAAGGCTTGTGAGGTTACCTGGTTGGTTCCATTATTAATGATGTTAACTTTGATCACCTGGTTAAGGTATCATCTGTCAGAGTCTCCTTTTGTAATTAATAAGTACTTTTGGGGAGGTACTCTGAGGCATCAAACTTTCACACACATTCTCTGGTTTTAGCGTCCATTGACTTTTGCTTGAGTCGACTATTACTATCACGGTTGCCAAATGATGATTTTCTAACTCTTGTCATTTCTATATTTATGAAGTGGCAATTCATTATAAGGAGTAGCATTGCCTGCTTTCTCATTTATTTAATTATATTAGAATGGATGCATGGACTTTTAAAAAAATTACTTGATTATAATCATTATTTATTTTGATCCTCGAATTGTCCCAGATTTGGCCAGTGAGCAGGTTTTATGTATGTAAGTTTTTAAGGCTTTGCATTTCCTCTCATCAGTGTTTTAAAAGTATCCTATAGATGCTGACATGTAGCCTTATAACCACCATTTTTAGAAGCTATATGATGTCAATTTACTATGCACCTTAATAGGTTGTAAAAATTTTCTCGTGGAAGGTCCTTTTTGGTTTTTAATTTTGTTGCTGATTTCTAATTTTTCTTGTATTGTAATTAGACAGTATTGTTTATAAAAAAGTCTCCATGGAACTTACTGGTACTTTTTCCTGTGACCTAATATGTAATCAGTTTTAGGTGTTGTCTCTATTATCAGATTTTCTCTTTCCTTTTGAGTGAGCTTTGGTAGTTTGTGTCTTTCAAGGAATTTGTTAGTTTCATCTAGGTTTCTGATTTTATTGGCTTAAAGTTATTTACAATAATCCCTTATTATCCTTTTAATGTCTTTAGGATCTGTAATGATGCTCTCTATGTTGGTTATCTTTTGCTGCTATTTACTTCAAACCTTAGTGGCTTAAAACAAAAACAATTATTGTCTCACTGTTTCTGTGGATTTGAAATTTGCGAACAACTTGGATGGTAGTTCTTGATCAAAATCTCTCATGATCTTGCAATCAAGATATTTGCCAAGACTTTGATGGTCTAAAACAGGGTGTCCAATCTTTTGGCTTCCCTGGGTCACATTGGAAGAAGAAGAATTGTCTTGGGCACACATAAAATACACTAATGATAGCTGATAAGCTAAAAAAAAATCACAAAAAATCCCATAATGTTTTAAGAAAGTTTATTAATTTGTGTTGGGCTGCATTCAGAGCTGTCCTGGGCTGCCAGTTGGTCAAGCTAGAGGTGGAGGATTTGCTTCCAAGATTGCTCATTCACATAGCTATTGGCCATGAGGCCTCAGTTTGTTACTGCTCTTAACAGGAGGCCTTAGTTCCTCACCACATGGATCTTTATAGTGTTGCTTGACTGTTATCACACATGGCAGCTAGCTTCTCCTGAGTGTATGATACAACAGAGAGATCAATAAAGATGCACATTCTCTTTAATCTCTTAGTCTCTGAAGTCACACACATTTACTTCTGCTTTATTGTGTTAGATGCAAGTTTCTTAGTCTATATTCAAAAGGAGGGAAATTAGGCACCAACTCCTAGAGGTAGGAGTGTCAAATAATTTATGGATATACGTTAAAAATAGCTTTCATCCTCATATCTGATGTAGGTAATTTATGTCTCATTTTTTCCCCCGATACATCTAGATAGAGGTTTATAAATTTTACTGATTTCTTCAAAGAACCTGTCTTTAATTTCTTCAATTTTTTTCTATTATTTTTATGTTTCTATATGATAGTTTTCTGATCTTAAGTTTCCTGATTTCTTTAGATGGAAGATTATTGATATGAGATCTTTCTTCTATTCTAGTACAGATATTTAGTGCTTTAAATTTTCTTTTGAATACTGGTTTAGCTATATCACACACATTTTGGTGTGCTGTAGTTTTGTTTTTATTCAGTTCCAAATGCCTTTTAATTTCTTCTTTGATCTATGGCTCACTTAGAATTATGATTATCTTTCTCAATATTAAGGATTTTCTAGATATCTTTTTGTTATTGATTTATAATTTAGTTTCATTTTGGTCACAGAATATAACTTGTATGATTTAAATTTTTAAAATATTTATTGAGCCTTAATTTTATGACCAATAATATAGTCTATCCTGGTGAATATACTGTGTGTACTCTAAGAGAATGACTATTCTGTTGCTATTGGGTAGAGTATTATATAAATGCCAGTTAGGTCAAATTGGTTCAGAGTGCTACCCAGGCCCTTATTGGGTAGCACTGTGCTCACTGACTTTTTTGTCTGCTTTTTCTATCAGTTAGTGAGAGGGGGTGTTGAAATCTCCAACGATCTTTGTTGATTTTTCAATTTCTATTTAATTTCTATCAGTTTTGCTTCATATATTTTGAAGTTCTGTTATTAGGTCCATAAACTTTTAGAATTGTTAAGCACTCTTTATGAATTGACTCCTTTAGGATTATGAAATGACCTTTTTTATCTTTAGTAATAATGTTTTCTCTGAAATCTGTATTTTCCAATATTAACATATAGATTGCATCTTTCTTTTGATTGATGTTACCATGGTTTATCTTTACTTCTTTATTTTAAACTTATTTGTGTTTTAATATTTAGTGTGTTTCTTCTGTGCTTTGCTTTGTTATGCAATATGATAGTCATTGCCTTTTACTTGGGGGTGCTTCGACTATTTACATTTAACGTGGTTATTCATATGGTTGGATTTAAATCTACTCTTGCTGTGTGTTTTCTGTTTGTCTTACATATTTTTAATTGTTTTGGTATTTTTCTGTATTTTATATTATTGGAATTCTTTTTTGTAATTCTGTTTTATCTCCTTTGCCAGTTTATTGGCTGTGTGTGTGTGTGTTTTTTTTTTAACTAGTTGCTTAAAGGGTTTATAATATACATATTAAATCTATCATGGTCTGCCTTAACGTAATATTAGGATTCCATTTTTTATGCACTATTGGTTTATCAACTATATAATTTTGTCACTTTTGATACTGTAAAGATGTTACTTCACTGTCTTGCACTGTTTTCTACGAGAAATCTCTGCTCTTTTCTTTGTTTCTCTGTAAATAGAATATTTTTTTCCTCTGGCTGCTTTTAAGATTTTTCTTTTTGGTCATTGGTTTCAGTCACTTTGATGTGTGTTGTACCTTGGTGTAGCTTTTTTCATGTTTTTCCTCCGTAAGGTCTGTGGAGCTTCTTGGATCTCTGAGTATATATTTTCATTTAATTTGGAAAAAACATCTGCCATTATTTTTTCTTTCTTTCTTTTTTTTTTTTTGTTCCTCCTTTTCTGTCCTCTGTGTTGGGCACTCCAAATACATGCATTTAGGTCACTTTAAGTTGTCACAACTCACTCATGGTCTGTTCATTTTTTTTTCCCTCAATGTCTTTCTCTTTATTTGGGATATGTCTTCAGGTATACTAATACCTTCTTTTGTAAGGTGGAATCTGCTGTTGATACTATCTAGCATATTTTTTAAAAATCTCAAACATTATGTTTTTTGAGGGAGTCTTTATTTACATCTTTCCTGTCTCTATTTAGTACGCTCATGTTTTCCTTTACCTTCTTGAACGTATGAAATTTAATTGTTTTAATTTTTTAAATCAGGTTTATCATCTGTGCCATTTTTATGTCTCTCTTGATTTTTCTCTTCATTGTGGGTATTGCCTTGCTTCTTTGCAGGAAATATATGTGCTTGGTATATCTTGATTGGATGCTAGACATAATGAATGCTACCTGTTGCATGCTAGATATTTTTGTTCTCTAAGTATTCTTGAGATTTGTTGTGAGCTACAGTTAAATTACTTGGAAACAGTTTGATCTTTCCAAGTAATTTTAAGCTTTAAGCTTTTAAGCATTGCTAGGTAGACCCAGAGCAGACTTTAGTCTAAGGTAGTTAGTCTCTACAAGTGAAGCAACACCTTCTGAGCACTCTATTTAATGGCTCTTACATTGCAAGGTTTCCACTCTGGCTGGTTGGAACATGGCTATACCCAGCCTTGTATGAACTTTGAGATTGTTTTGCAGACTGTTCCTGTACGTTCCCACCTTTGGGTGTTTTCCTCATATCCATGGAGCAAGCAGTACTCAGCTGAAGACTCCTTGTCAGGAATCCTCTGAAATTCGCTGGCGTTTCTCTGTGTATATTTCTCTACTCTCCATGCATTTCTCTCCTGCTTGGTACTATACCTTGCGAATTGTACAATTGTTGGCCTCCCCTTGATCACATGTTTCTTCTCACATCAGGGAGAATATTATGCTCTTATTTGTTTGTCCATCCCTATCTTGCAGCCTGAAAATACTCCCATCATAGAACCAGACAATTTTAGGCATTTTCACATTTGTTTCCCTTATTTCAAGGATCACTGTCCTCGCTGCCTATTGTTTAATGTCTGAAAATCATTGTTTCATATGTTTTGTCCAATTTTTAAATAAGGAGGGAAGATAAATCCTGTCCTTTTAACTCCATAATAGCTAGAAGCAGTTCTCTTCAGTTTCTTAACATTTTCTATTTCATTCTTGCTTCATTTTTTAATTTGCTTTAAGAAGTCTGTTTCCAATTATATTCTGTTTTCTATATATTTGATCTTTTACCTAGAGACTCTGGACTTTTTTCTTATTTTGAAAATCTGTTGATTAAGATATATCTCAAGAGTTGATCATTGTGAATCACTTTTATCATGTGGCCACTTATCCCTTTTGGTATGTGGAACTCCAGGAAGTGTACTTGGATTATATTTTTAAATTTTTTTTTCTACTATTTTATTTTTCTTTCCAAGATCTCCAATTATATGTACTCTGGACTTTTTTGGGTCTGTGTTCCACTTCAACTCCTTTTCTCTGATGGTCTTTAATTTTTTTCTCATTTGGTAATTTTCTTGCTTTTTCTTTGCCCTTTATGACATTTGTATTTCATTTTGTTCTTCCTTGGACTCTTTTTAAATTTATTCCTTCACTTTCATATAATTTTGTGTTTTTCTTTATTTTCATTTCACCCTGCGTTTATTCAGCTCATTCATTTCTTTTCATTTTTTAAAATACAATTTCTCATTTTAGTTTTAAAATGTCTGAATCTGGATACAAATGCTCACTTATTTCATTTATTATTATAATTTGTTTATGGTTTCTGGGTTTTGTTTGCATGGAGTCTGTTATCACCTGAAATCTTGTGAGTCTCTTTTTGTTTCTTTGTCTCATAGTAGCTTTGCATTGATGAAGACAGTATCTTTGTATTCATGGACGTTTTGGCTGTTTGCAATAGTTTATAAAATTACTAGTTTAAGAATACCCTCTTCTGTTGGGTATTTTATTTATTGTACAATTTATTTAATGGATGAAATGTTGGCGAGTGCTGGGTGGGAAGGAGTTGTTTTTTTATTTACTCGTATAAGAGCCTAAGTTTCCCACTTTTCTTTTTCCTCCTAATACCCAGTTTCCAAAAGGTGTCTCTACCTATCTTTTCTCCTATCTTCTGCCTCTAAAGCATTCTTTCCCAGGACTGGCTCCTTGACTTTTGTGTTAATGCACATTAAGTCTTCTCTTTGTAGGTCAGTGTTCTGATTTACCAGAGCTTGTTACTATTTTTTTTTACACTTACTTAGTCCTCCCAGTCTCTCTCCCATGCATTTTTTTTCCTGACCTTCCTAGCACTCTAAAAAGAGTTGCTGTGGGAGTCCTAGAGTAGGTTCTATTGGAAAGTGCTTCATATTTTTCTTCCTGTAGGTAATTTGAGGTTTATCGTGTACCCTGTCTTCTGGCTGAAAACATGGGATTTTTGTGGTTTTATTTATTCTTAATATGGTAATTGATGTAGCTTTTTGGTATGATATGTGGGGAGATGGAGGTTTAGGTAACTGTTAGTATTTCTGTTGCCTGAAAGCCTGGAAAATCTGGCTTTTTTGAGAACAATTAATATTTCTAGATACTTTAACTAAAAAGCTAATTTTGGACATTTTCTTGAATCAGGAAAGTATCGTGGCATGTGACATGTTATTTGACCTTTTAAAATGGCTGGGCTTTGCAAATAAGGGACTTTGGAATTTTATTCTTTCAGATAACAGCACAGATTTCTATATAGAATAGTTCTTCTATTTTTCGTGTAAATTAAGAATTCCAAATTGTTCTTACACCTTTGTGTGGGATGTCTATAATGTTAGGTTAAAGTTACTACATAATACCTTTTAGTGCTTTAATGAAACAGTGAATTATTGTTACTTGACCTTTTGAAAAGGTCAGTAGTACATTTTGTTTCATTTTTTTAAAGGACATTTAAATGTAATGAAAGTCAGAACTGTAATATTACCATGAAAGTAAAGGTTATAGGGTACATTTAATTGTGTTCCTCTGTTTTTGAAACTGCTTTGAGGGAGACTGTGTTAAAATTCCACATGGTAATTGTTTTTTGAGAATTTTATTACTTTTTCATTTTATTCTGTTAGAGTAAAAGATTACATTTCTGTTTGTCTTTTTCTGCTATTTTTGCTCAAGTTTCCTGTGTATTATCCTATTTAAGTTATAAAGTTTAAACTACTTACCCATTCACTTTTCCAAGAAAGTAAAATGGAATAAATGTCTCAGAGGTCTTTCTTCTCTTAGAAAGACTCTTGAGTAAAATTCTGTTTGTTCAAATATATAGTTAATATGTTACTGATTTCAAAAAAGTTAGAGGCCCACTAATGGGAGAATTAAATATACTCTGATTTATGCAAGTATTTCACTTATGTCTGTATAGATTGTGTAACTAAATATATTTTCATTTTATTAAAATTTAGAAAGTAAGCTGAAAACGACTATATAATGTTATATATCCTTATTTTATATTGTGATGTTTTTCTTCCATTAAAGCAATTTGAAGGAATTTCTTTTTTCATAAATTTATTTACTAAGAAATAACACTGAAATTTCTTCTATGGGCCTGGTTAGCAATTTTGTAATATTTCTTGTGTTTGTGAGTGACTTTCTCTTTAAAAACAAAGTCTTATCTGAGTGTTTTGATTTCCCAGTAACTACAAAGTTTTTGTAAGACAGTTTTGAGTTATTTTCCCTCAAATGCAATATTGTGTTGCATATATTTTAACAAGTATAAAGATGTGGATAAAATTGATACCTTTTAGAAAATAAAGGAAAACATTGTCTTTTCTTTGTGATTCTGTTTAACTTCTCAGCATTAAGTGAAAGATAAAAATTTGAGTGATCCTTTTCAATATTTTCCACAGGGAAGAGACTTCCACCTTAGGATAGTGTTGCCTGAAGATTTACAACTGAAGAATGCAAGGTGATATGGTGTTTAGTTATAAACGTGCATTTTTGCATTTTGGTGGGACAGGCAGTACATTTGGTATAAATTGATTCTAGTGACTAGAGTTTTGCCTAAAATGCTTATTAGTCATTTGCCCCAAAAGAAACATTTCTGATTTTTCCAAACCAATGCAGCATTTGTAAATATTTACCTGTTACTAAAGTGCTTTTAAACATTAGTTCTCTCATTTTTAAAAAAATATTTAAAGCAGTAAACAGCCATTGTGTACACTTCACTAACAAATACTGAACAGGTATATAAAGGGAGAACAAAAGGATTAGAAAACTTTTTTTCCAACTTTTGACTGATATTATTAATGTGTATATTCATTATATGAGAAGAGTCACATCAGTTCAGTCCTGGCTTAAATTAGGTACCAACATTGAGTGCTGGTAGATACAACTAGTCAGGATATGAGACTGAAAATTTAGGTACCACCCCAAATCTCAATTCTGCCTCTAAATATTTCTGGAGAAGAATGGAGGAAAAGGAATCCAGAGATATTTATGAGTAGAATTGAGAGGATTTTGTGACCAACAGAAGTGTAGTTAAGAGGGAAAAAGGAATAGAGGATGCTTTTCAAATTCCCGGCTCAGATCTCTAAGCTAGAGAAGAGGTCACAGATGGAAAAGTAGAAGAGAGATTGTTTTAAGGCATATTTGGTGTGAAATACCAAGAGGAGCTATTTAGTAGGTAGTAATGTAGTGGTGTGGAAATAGAGTGTGAGACCTGGAGTGCAGATGTGTGTGGAAGTTACAACAGATGAAGGATTTGAGACCTTGATTATGAATAGACTTTTTGGTGCTGTGTCTAGCGGGGTAGAAGAGAAAGCCAGTGACAAGACCTTGGGGCGTACCAACATTTAAAGGACTGGTCACTAAAGAGGAACTTACAAGGAGACTAAGGATTGACCAGAGAAGAGGAAAACTTGGGCAGCAGAGTCTTTCAAGCCAAATAAAGAGAGGCTTAAGCAAGGCATGGTTAGCAATGCTGAGGATTACAAAGAGATAGGTTAGATGCAAGTAAGTTTTGTGTGGTGGCAGAAGCCATTTGTGTTGGATGAGTGGGAGGAAAGTATAAAGTATTTTGAAGAAAAAGAGGTGGTTAGAGAATGGTATGCATTCAAGAAGGAGTTATGATGTTCTTTAAAGATATATATTTGAGCAAGTTAATTCATTAAGGAGAAAAAAACTAGCAGAACATAAATTAAGGATACCACAATAAAGGGATAATTAATTGAAGTCACCAAGTTGGTAGCAGGGGAGAGAAAGCACATTTTGAGCAGGGGTTACCAATGGACATTTGAATGAACTACTCTGCCACTAAGAGAGGAGATAGGGATGGTTATGGGGATTTGAAGACCAAGAATGGAGAGAGTTGTGACAGTTTGAAAAGGCCATGTTGGGGAAAACTCAGAGAGGCTTCCTACTTGTAGGTAACTAAAAGTAATTCCTTAGAAGAGTTACTTAATAGTATCGGGAGCACAACAGAGGTCAGCCAGTAAGTGGATGAACATTAACTTATCACTTCTTATACAATTAATTAGAAGTATGTATCTTTCTAGCCAGGCTTGGTGGTGGGTGTCTGTAGTCCCAGCTACTTGAGAGGCTGAGGCGGGAGGGTTTCTTGAGCCTAGGAGTTCAGGTTGCAGTCAGCTATTCTACTGCACTCCAGCCAGCCTGAGTGACAGAGCGAGATCCTGTCTCTAAAAAATAAAAAATAAAAATAAAATGTATCCTTTTAGTTATATTAATCGGGAATTTGAAGATAATATTGCTACACATGCTTTTTCAAATACATGTTTGATACATTATATTTGATGATATATTGTTATCAAAACTGTTGGTTTTATTTAACCTATCTTGGAAAAGAATCTACTTCAGTGGAAAACTTTGCTTCGGATGTGTTAAAGTTAAAAAACAAGATGTACTGTTTGCATGTCATTTACTGATTGCAGTTATTTATATTTTGAAATAAAATTAGTACCAACAGTTTGAAGACAAGACTTTGAACAGTATCAGTGGTAAAAATTTTATTAACTTGTCCAAATTATGTTTGTCATTCTTTTGTATGTACATGCATGTTTGTGTTAGCATACAAATAAGTTTTTAATTCTGAACAATGAATAAACCATTTTGTCTCATTAAAATTTTAGATTATTATGTAGTTGGCAGCTGAGAACAATACTTAGTGGATACCATCGAATAGTACAACAGGTAAGTCCTTTTTAAAAGGTTTATGTTTTCAGTGAAGATAAGAAATTACTAAATTTATTGTTCTTTAAAGACCTGCTTTGCACAATGTTGTAACAAACTGGTTTAATAGTTGTTAAGTTTTGTAGGTTTCATCTCTGTGTGTTTTTAAATCTCAGTGTCCTCAGGAGATCTCCAGGCAGCCTTTGTGTTGAAATCGATTTCCATCTTTGAGACTTTAGGTTCTTCAAATGCATTCACCCTTATCCATATCCATCACTTCTTCAGTGATTTTTCTTCTGAGACTGAATGGTGGTGATAGGGAAAAAAAATCAGACCCATTTAGAGCTGTGGGATATCTGTGGCAAAAATGGGATTTTAGTCCTAGATTAGCAACAGAAAAGATGTGGCAGAAATAATTTAGGATCATGTGTACTTGCATAATGAGGGGAGATAAATTAAAGGCTGCTTAGTGTGTTAATAGGCAGGATTAATTTCTTTATTCTTAATGTTTAGGTTCCTCTACCTGAAAATTCCTTTAAAGATTAGAAAAAAAAATCAGTTACTGAAGCAAAATAATGACATAATATAATTCTTCTTTTAGAAAAATAGTTTTTAGAATTGCCTTTCTTTTTATGCTTTATGCATTTGTGTGTTTTTTTCCTGATTTTCTATATTTCTGTGTCTTAAAGGCAGGTTATTATCTATGATAACTGACAATCACAGTAACTCTCCCATAAAGCATTAAAGCTGCAAAGAAGTATAGGAGATAAACTATTTGATTTATAGAATGAAGGTTATCATCCTGGCAATATAATTACAGAAGTTTTTTTAAGGATATGTTCAAATTATTTCTGTTTTCTTTCCATCCCTGTCTCCATCCCTTTGACTATTTATATTGTACACTAAAATTTAAGAAATGCATCTGTTGACATATTGAAATAGCATGGGAAAAAATGGTTTATGTAGTCTAATATTAAGATCTATTACTCTGTTTTTCACCAGCAAGTTATCAAGAGGATTCCTAGAAAAAAATCCCAATTATTTATCTTTCCTTGCCCCCCAATTGGTTAGGTAGAACCCAGTGTTAAAGTCTTCTTTTTATTTTACAGTCCCAGTGAATATTACTATTCTTTTCTTGTATCATTTTTAATTTTAGTAAATATGGGCCAGGGAGTCAACAGACTTTTTCTGTAAAGAACCAGATAATAAGTTTTTCTGGCTTAGTAAGCCATAAGATCTCTGTTGCAGCTACTCAATTCTGCCGTTATAGCAACCATAGACAAGAGGTAAGTGAATGTGTATGGCTACATGCCAATAAAACTTTGTTTACAAAAACAGTATTGAGCTGGATTTGGCCTCTGGACTTTAGTTTCCAGACCCTGTCATTTATTGATCATCTGTAATAAACTAAGGGGAAAATGCAATGTAGAAGAAGGGATAGTCAAGGATTTGCTCTACACAGACCCACTCAAAGCTATGTTAAGATGTGAATCATATGTGTTCATGCATTGTTGAAAACAATGTAAAACTTGAGAATATTTTTTTCTGTAGTTATTTTAAGAATGAAGGATTTCTAGGAAATGGAATAGTAACTCTTAAATATTTATTGTACTTTAGAGATTATTTCCTTTTTTGCCATTTTATTATAACAGGTTTTACTTTAATGAATGACTGTCTCCATTTTGACTAATATGGATTAGTTGTGAGAGGACAAAAATCACAATTATAGGTAGTTTTTAAGGTCAAGGGAAAAATAAAAAAAATGACCATATTGTTAATTAATAATTGTTAATTTATTGCTGCCACTAGATTTTAAAAATTACATAGAGTTGCCTGATTTTTATATTTTATACTCCTCTTCCCACTCACATCACTCCTATACCTCTTCTTTCTCTTTTTTTTTCTCTTCCTCCTCCTCCTCCTCTTCTTTCTCTTCTTCTTTAAAAAAAGTAATGATGAGGTTGTTAGATTTGCTAGACATAGTAGTGATACAGAAGGGCGGCAGGGAAGTGCTGAGTAGAGAAAGATGGGTCCCTGGTGAGGGCTCCACCCCCGGGCCTGTGCCCACTGACCTAGGTGAGGACAGGCATTTCCCAAGACCACCCTGGCCTGCCATACCTCCATCTTGTGCCTATAAAAACCCGAGACCCTAGCAGGCACACACACACACAAGTGGCTGGACGTTGAGAGAAATATATCGGTGGAGGAACACACAAGTGGCTGGACATCGAGAGGACATCGAGAGCATGTCAAGAGCACACCGATAGACTTCAGCATGCCGGCAGGCCATTGACCGGCAGAATGACGTGGAGTTCGACCAGGGTGGTTGGAGGAGAGCCTGGGCTGCTGAGCAACCCGACGCCAGGGGAAAACCGTCTCCCTTCTGTCTCCCACATCTACTGAGAGCTACTTGCACTTAATAAAACCTTGCACTCATTCTCCAAGCCCACATGTGATCCAATTTTTCCAGTACACCAAGGCAGGAACCACGGGATACAGAAAGTTCTTTGTCCTTGCAATAAGGCAGGGGTCTAATTGAGCTGACTAACACAAGCTGCCTATGGATGGCTAAACTAAAAAAGCACCTTGTAACACACACCCACTGGGCTTTCAGTAGCTGTAAACATTCACCCCTAGACACTGCTGTGGGGTTGGAGCTCCACAGCCTGCCCGTCTGTATGCTCCCCTAGAGGTTTATGCAGCGGGGCACTGAAGAAGCAAGCCACACTCCCATCGCATGCCCTGCAAGGGGGACAAGGGATTCAGTAGTAAACAGTGCTCAAGAAACAGAGTAGTGTGAGGTTTTAAGTGACATTCTAACACAGTTTAATATATCTCAGCAAATTAGATTTGAGGACATTAATTACTGTTTCAAAATGAAATTGGTAGGAGTAGTAAAGTTGATGACCGATACTTCATTTCTTATAGTTTTCAGATGTAGATATAGCTAATCTTTTTTTCACATTCACTTGGGCCTACATTTTTTTACAGTTTTAGTGGATAGAATATTTATTGTGCAAATGAAATTAATTGGAAATATTTTGATCTAGAGAATGCAGCACTCTCCTGATCTAATGAGCTTTATGATGGAGTTGAAGATGCTTTTGGTAAGAATTTTTTTTTTTTCTGACACTGTTACCATACTGCAAGTCTTGATTTCTTTTTTGTAACTCCTTTAAAAACTGACATTATTAGAATTTGTCTTCTTAACTCTCAGTCATTTGATGTTTTCTTTTACTGTGTACATAAATATAGATGACGCATTTCTTGAACTGCATGAGGGACATAACTGTTCGAAGGAACCTCTTTGATTGTATTATAAACTAGGTATTCTTGACACTAGTGTTGGGCAGGTGGTGAAGAAATAAAATGTACTCCTGGCCTATCAGCAGAGAGTTTAACATCTAAGAAGAGATTAGGTAGTCCTACTTAAAGATATAATATGATGTATAAATAATTTTGTGTATAGCTACAGATATCTGAAAAACTTATTAGGCTTCATTTTATGTATACTGTTACATATGTACTGTTTAATCAGTGTTGCATAAAATACTTGATTATTCAGTTTATCCTGTAGACATTTTATTATTTTCTTAAAACCCAAGTTCATTTTATTACCCAAGTTTTCAACATAAACAAAAGAAGAGGGAAGATTATAGTGAATACTGCTGGGCCTGACCAAATTTTAACATTTTGCCAATCTTATTTCCTCTTCTACTTTTTTAGAAGAAAGACACCATAGTATTTTAAAGGAAATTCTGGATATTGTATGTATCCCTCTGTAAATATGTCAGTGTGTATCTCTTTAACAGCTAAGTGCTTTTTATCTGTTTTTAAATATATTATTATAACCTCAATAAAGTTAATAATTTCTTATAGCTGCTTTGTTTGTATTAGTATGCAAACAAGGTCCTCACATTATATTTAGTTGATAAGTCTCTTAAGCCTTATATAAGACTTATAAGGTACTTATGTATAACATCATCTCTCTCCTCTTTACCTCACCCTTTTTATTCATGCCATGTATTTGTTGAATAAAACAAATTAGGTGTCCTATAAAATCTTCTACATTCTGGATTTGGCTTGTAAGATATTCATGGTTTATCTTTTAACATATTCTACTTTCTTTGTAATCTGGCAGTTAGATCTAGAGGCTTCAGCAGATTTGGATTCATTTGTTCTTATGAGATTACTTGGTGCTCTGTATTTATTATATTACATGAGGATCCACGTGGTATCTGATGGTTCCTTGGTTCCTGTTTTAGTAAATTTAAGATTGATCAATAGGTTTAGATCCATTCAATATAAAGTTTCCCATCAGACTGTCACCTAATGATTTTAGCCTCTAATAACAATCATTGCCTGTATCTAATGTTTCATTAGGATTTACAAATGGTAATTTTAAAAATTCCATCATCTGCATTTATTAGTTGAAAATCTTCTGTAGAGAACTTCTCATCAGTTGTTTGGTTAATTTGAGGTACAGCTTATACTGGAGAGACTGGATAAGTGCTTGTTTCTTTTCCTTTTAAAACAGAAACCAATTTTTAGAATAATGAGTTGGTGCCTAGCAACTGTCACAGGGATCTAAAGTGTTTTTTTTTTTAAAGTATCTTTATGAACTCATAGATTTTTATATATTTAATTAATTTTTTTATTGTAGTCATTTTCTTTTTGATGCTTAAATTGTCCCATTTTTTTGGTCAGCACAAGTCCCTTCATATTGGCTCTTTATTTAATATAACCCAAGCTTGTTTGCCTTCTGATACCAGTTGCCCCAGGTTCATTTATTCATTTTATTCCGTAACTGTAATCAGCCATTTCTCCAAAGAATCATGATTTCTTTGTGGGAAATAGTATTTGGATGCCTCAATCTGGAAACTTGAGTGTGCATTGCTGTTACTTGTAGGTTTTTTCAGTGGACAAAACTGAGAAAAAATACTTTTTGGAAAGAATATAATTATGAGTTTGTATTGATATTTACAATTCAAATTGGCATTATAGAATTTTTACTTGTTTGCTTGTATCACTTTTACTCTGAAAATGCTGTTTTCTAATGTTAACATCATTGTAGTATGGTTTTTTGTTATGTTCTACTTGTTATATTTCACTTATGCTTTTCCTGTCTATGTGTTGTTAGTTTATATAAAAATTACAATACTAATATTGCTAACAATGGAAAGTTTTGATATTTCTTTGTGATCCTTGTTGAGACCATTTTATTCCTAGCAGCAGCTACTACATATTGATAACTTAGTTGCTAGGTTGTTTTCTGGAGTCCTTTTTTAATGCTAATAAGAACCTTCTAAGGTAGGACTTTGATTAAATGTGTGAGATTAGAATAATAGTTTAAAATTAATTTCTAAAGTTTGAATTTTGATTTATGAGTTCATAAATCCTAATTAATAAGGGTTATCAAACTTGATTACAAATTACATCAAAGGCCTTAATGTAATAACCTTAAAAAGGTAAAGTGAACAAGTGAAGCATATTTGGTTTACATCTCCTTGACATTGGAGAAAAGTTTGCAACATTTATTTTATCTTTTTATTATAATTTTAATAAACAATACAAATACAAGGAGAGACTAAGGGAACCAGAGTAAAAGTATAGATATCATGTCCCATTAAACTCTTCTTATCAAAAATAACTTCATTAAATTGTAAGTCACAGCTCTCTTGGCCATGTAATTTTGGAGAAACACTTATTAGTTTAAAACTAAAATAAAATTTTGAGATCTCTGATTTACAATATCTATTTAGTATATTTATTCAATTTCTGAATAAAAATGAAATCCTGTATTTTAGCTTTCTTCAGAAATTACGGACAAATTTGGTGATTTTATTGCTCATTTAAGATAGTATACCTAAAGATATAAGAATTATTAGTGTTAGGCTGTATTGTAAGTAATAGGGTTCCTATACTATAATCACCAATAAATATGTTGAGAGTGATGCTCACATGAAATCAGTAGTTATTGAACTTATTCAGAAAATGTTGTAAATCTTCCATGGAGTTTCCTAGTAATTACTGCATATAGTGGGAGTTCAGTATATATTTAACAAGTGAACAATTACCTATATTTAAAATAATCCTAAGTGGTAGGTTATTTTATTTCTATTTTAGAGCTGAGCCACTGAAGCCTAAGGCCTCAAAATAGGAATTGTTAAAGTCAGTATTTAAAACTTCTGTTTGTGAAGCCTTTCCGCTATGTACCTTTGCCTCTTTTCTGTGAAGAATATGTTGCTTCTCTGCTTTTGCCTTTTTAGCTGTTACGGTTCTACAGTAGGAGTAACTTACCTGACTCAGAATAGAAGGTAGAGTGTATAAATGTCATAAACCTAAGATTGAAAAGTGTTTTTACTATTATCCAGGTTTATTTTTACCTTCAATTTTTGTGAATAGCAATAATTAATATTTCAGAATAAAAACAAATCTTGAAAGAAGTACTATACTATATTAATGCATTTTATTTAATAACTAGTAGAGCACAATCTTCATAGTATTAGGTTGGTGCACAACCTAAATACGAATTTATTTTGGTGGACCATCAGTCTATTTTTAGGCAACATTAGTCATTTATATTATAAAAAAGGCAGCATATACTTTGTCTTCTAGGAGCTTACCCTCTAATTAAATCCATATTGATATTCTCAGCTGTACGGATCTGTTTTCCCAGTTGTTTTTTTTTTTTCATCATAAAGCAGATTCAGAACGAAATTGAAGTAGTTCCCGTTAATAGTTTTGGTTTTGAAGTGCTGTTTTGTAATATCTGTTCTTTCTAATATGATCTCAATTTGATAGTGTCCTATCCTGGTTAAAAAAAATTGATATATACTTAAAAAATAAGATTAAACATATACTTAAAAGAATAAAAATTACAACCTTTTATTAGGATTATATTTTTCAGAAGTGTTTATAATTTTCAACTTGTCCCTATCTACTTTCGTTATTTATTGTAGCTGATTTATTTAATTAATTAATTATTTACTTTTTGTAATACCGTTTGATACTTCAGACCATATGAACATCTAAGTAATTTGTAGATAGATTTATTTTTACTTTCCAAATAAGCTGTCTATCTAGGTTGGTAACTTCAAAATAATTGGTAATTTTAGCTTCAGCAATTCTAGTGATGTTTATGTGTCTTGTAAAAAATTTTAGTTTTGGTTGGGAGAACATAAACATTTTAAAGCCTTCATAGATAGGCCTAGCAAGGAACGGGACTGTAATCTAGCCAGATGGATGGCATAATACTCCGACTTACCTGCTTGAAGAATAGTACAGAGTATAAGTCAGTGAAAAAAATTAGCATGTGGATATTTGTTCTGATAATGAGTTTGTTTGTTAGGATGTGGTTCATAATGGTATACAAATATGTCAGTTTAGGTAATGTACTTAGAGTTCAGGCCTTTCTTTAGAGGTACTTTTTAAAAAATGTATATATCAAACATCATATTCATGGGAATAGAGCCATAGTGAAGCCTTGAGGATGAATTTAATAAAAATTTTTTTTTTATCTCCGATAGGCATAATAGTCCAGGAGAATATTAAAATCTCAAGTTATTTTCATGGCATAAAAATTGACATTTTGCATGACCTTCAGTGCAGTCCTTTAACTTTTTCTTGTCTCTTTTTCATGAGCAGGGGAATGAGTCAGCCAGATTTCCGTAAAAAAACAGGCACTTTTATTAGGCACTAAGAAGATAATGAAATTATGTTTTGCAATCAGGTATTAACAGTTCATTGTCTTGCGTTCCACAGCTAATTCAGGTTTTCTTCTTTTAAACAGGAAGTTGCCTTAAAGAATAGACAAGAGCTGTATGCACTACCTCCTCCTCCCCAGTTCTACTCAAGCCTTATTGAAGAGATAGGAACTCTTGGTTGGGATAAGTATGTCTGTTTTAAAATATGTTTTAAATGCCTTTGTTTTATATATTTTAACTTAATGTATTTCTAGTTTTAGCAGTTTATACCTGATTTTAGTCAAAGTGTTTAATTGTAACTAGAGTATTTGATCCTTATTGTTGCTGTGAATTAAAGAGAGGGATATCATCATAAAAAATTGCCTTACAAAGTAAAATGCTAAATATAATTTGGAAAAAATGACATTTTTATGTACACAGTAAGATGTTACCGTAATAGATACTTTCACTGAACATACAACTGTATTCTAAATTTTCCATGTTTGAAGAGTAATGCTGAGACACATGAAAGAGACTGGAAAAATTGCAGTATTTCTGGAATAATTGTTATTTTTGGTTAATATACAATTTGGCATGTCTAAATTTACATATATATAACATTATAAGTGCTTTTGTAATTTGAGTGGTAAATTTTAGCAACTAGGGTTTGTAAGAATCATCCAGCTTTCTTTGAAAAAAATGATTTTTTTTTTAAAACTGATGCATAAAGAAACTTAAGTTCAGTAAACGTGTATGCAAGTTGTTAAAACTTAATCCACATACCACCTGGAAAAAGTATGTGATGATTTGTTTGCTATTCAGTTTCTGAATTTAGCTTCCTTCTTAGTGTGGATACTTTGAAACATTACATTTATTATTAAGTGTATTATAACCTTTCTACTTTGAGCTAAAGCACCAGTAAAAATATGCCAATTTTTAGTTCTTATCACTTTTTTTTTTTTGAGACCGAGTCTCGCTCTGTTGCCTAGGCTGATTGCAAGCTCCGCCTCCCGGGTTCACGCCATTCCCCTGCCTCAGCCTCCCGAGTAGCTGGGACTACAGGCGCCTGCCACCACGACCGGCTAATTTTTTGTATTTTTAGTAGAGACGGGGTTTCACCGTGTTAGCCAGGATCGGTCTCGATCTCCTGACCTCGTGATCCGCCCGCCTCAGCCTCCCAAAGTGCTGGGATTACAGGCGTGAGCCACCACGCCCGGCAATTCTTATCACTTCTTAACCGTTATCAATAGTATTTTAGTATTCATTTATTATTTCCATTTAGATTGCCCTATTACTAAGATAAATCGAGGGCTAACTTAGGTACAATGTGGAAGGAATGTGCAATTTTTCACCACTAAGTTTTTCTTAATATGTTTTAAACATCTTATTATTCATCTGTTTTTTAGCTATTTTCTATGAGTTGGCCTTTTGATAACTAACCTAAAAAGAACCAGAAAATCAAATCGCCATTTAAAAGAGAACAAGGAACATATCTTAAGTGCAGAATATATGTCCTTTAATATATTTTATACCATTACCTGATAACTAAAGAAAAACTAAATAGAGACTTAAACATATTTTAGAGTTCCAAATTGTTCCCATGTAAATTTGTTTCTAGAGGTGATAAAAATGCACTGTGATTATTACAGAAATAAGAATTATTTTCGTTGCCTTTGCCTTCTACTTCCCTTTATATTCCTTAAAAGGCTTTTATTTAGAACAGTTTCTCTTCTTATGTGTAGATCAATTTTTTCCCTTTTGTTTTAACCACTAAAATTTGACTGAGTGGGCCATACCTCTTTTGGTGCACCTATGTGCAGAGATAGGTTAGCCATTCCTTCAGTCATGACTTTATGTAGACTTAATTTTTTATGAATACTTCTTTACCTTACCGTTTTCCTTACCGCCTCCCTGATTAAGAGTCAAAGTGTGTACGATCTGTACTTAAGAGCCAAGTTATTTAAATCCTGGTCTTGATAAAAATTACAGCCTCGGATTTCAACTGTTAAAACCTTACTAAAATCGCGATTGCATGTAATAGTGTTTCACTGCAGATGGACTGCTTAAAGTCTCTGTAATCTTATTTTATATGTTTTCTCAGTTTTACCCATGGATATTAGAACCGAGCTACTTTATTTTGCTCTCTTGTATAATTGCTCTTGAGGATGCCACTGACTTGGATTAAAGGATGTTGTATGAAATAGTCCTAAGATATGCAGTAGGGATTTTATGTTTGGATGTCTTCCATTGTATGATAATAGCACTATCTTTATGAGAAGCCATGAAAGAAGTTTTATTCTGTTTCAGATGCTAGAAAAGTCATGCTTTGCCTGACTATCCAACCTGCCACTTAATGAATAATGTGAACTATGTAATTGACTATGTTCTCTTTGACTTGGCCTCTAGGAAATTTAGAGTCAAATTTTTGGCACACTTTTTAGAGCCATGCTGGATATAGGATTTATATTTCTGTATGCTAATCTTACCTGACTTTTGTTCTCCTGTGATTCTTCTCTTCATATCAAGGGTACATGTTATCTCTGTGACTCATCACTGTTGATCTTGATCTTGATTACCTGGTGAGGTAGTATTTGTCGGGTTTCTGCACCGTAAAGTTACTGTTTTTTTCTCTCTCTCCACACTTTACTCTTTGGAAGTCACTATATGTAGCTCACACTTCAGGAGTGGGCAGTTACGCTCACACCTCCTTTAGGGCACAGTATTTACACAGATTTGGAATTTTTCTGCTCAGATTTTGTTCCCTCTCATTTATTTGTTTTTTCAGTCATTTATTTGAAATACTATGGACTCATGGATATTTATTTTATACTTTGGGTTATAATCAAATACTATTTTATTTTCTTGCTCAATTTGTTCTAGCTTTGGCCATTGAGAGCTCTTTCAGTTGGCTCCTGTGTCCTTTTGACAGGCCTCATCATTGTGGATATATATATATATATATATATATATATATATATTTTTTTTTTTTTTTTTTTTTTTTTTTTTTTTAGCATGTATTTACTTTCTGGCACTGAAAGAAATTTTGTATATTTCCTGCCCTTTCCTAGAATCAGCCATTTTTCCAAGGAGTCCTGGTTGCTTTTATTTGTGAGTGGTATTAGAAACTAGGATGTGGGCACTATGGGTGCTTGTTGCTATTGGTGTGTTGTTGTTTCTAGGCCTTCTTAGCTGAAAAATGGAAAACAAATGTGTTTATACTAACTCGTGTACATACTTGTAAATGTTTTTGTATATAACCATTTATATCTGTATTAAGGTAAACATGATTTTATACTGATGTCTACAACTCCAGTCCATTACCATATGTAGTTTTGTAGCCCACTTGCTTGGTATATCTGAAATCTCATACTCCAACAGGGAGAAACCGAGCTCCCATTATCTGTTATCCATTTACTTAATTGTTCAGTTGCAGTATACGTGCAGAGCACTATCAGAATTATTAATCTGTACCTCCATGGGTGACAACTTTATCAACTATACAATGCTTATTTTTATAGTTTTTTTTTTTTTGCCTTTATAGGCTTCACTCATTTTCAGTTACTTAGGTTAGAACCATTTCCTCCACCCACTTCAATGTACTTCTTTCCCATATTTGTAACACAGATTGTTTTGTCACATTCTCTGTTTCATCCTACGTTCATTTTAAAAAATGATTTTAGGATCTATAGTGATGCTGCCTTTTTCTTTCCACATGAGTTTTTTGTGCCTTTTTAATTTTTCTTAATCAGTTTTGCAAGAGCCATATCAATTATTTAAGTTTTTTCAAAGACCCAACTTTTAGCGTTGTTAATTTTCTCTGTTGTATATTTTTTTATCATTAATATCTGCTTATTAAGAATTTAATTTTTTTAGATTTGCTTCCTTTGTAATTTGTTGAGATGGATATGTAGGTCATTGATTTTTTTCCAGTTTATCTTACTTTATTATATATTAATTTAAGGCTGTAAATTTGTAAGCAATTTTAGCTTGATCCCGTAAGTTTTGATGTTATATTTCTATTACTATCAGTTAAAAATATTAATTTTCATTGTGATTTCTTTTGACTTATTTAGTATATCTCTTAATTTTCAAACAACTGGAGATTTTTGGGTTATTGAGTTCCAGTTTAAGTCTACTTTTGTCAGAAATCATCCTTTTAATTATCTCAATACTTTGAAGTTTACTGAGGCTTGCTTTATGACCCAGCACCTTGTCAATTTTGGTATGTGTTCTATTTCCACTTAAGAAGAGTATGTAATCTCTTGTTGGGTACAGTGCTTTGCTTTTATTCATTCCTCACATTTATTAATTATGTGTGTCAGATATCCAATATGTTTAATGATTTATTTTTTTTTTTTGTCCGCTTGTCCTGAGAGCTCTGGAGAGAGCTGTGTTAAATTCTCCCAATATGATTGTGAATTTTTGGAATTGTTTTTGTTCCTCAAAATTTTGCTTTATGTCTATTTGCAGTCATGTTATTGGGTACATACAGATTTATAATTGCTATATCTTCCTTGTTGGTTTTCCCTTTTGTTATTAGGACATGTTTCTTTTCATCTCTAGAAATATTCTTGTCTTAATGTCTACTTTGTTATAACTACACAAGCTAATTAGTTACATATTTTAAAAACTGCTCTTTACCATTTGCATTTTTTTAAAACAGATTTTAATGCTGTATTGAAATTCTTCCTCTTTTTCTCTATTTTCTTTCATAGTTTTAAAATATTTTTCTTGCTGGCAGCCACCAGAAACTGGAAGAGGCAAGGAATAGATTCTCTCCTAGAGCCTCCAGAGGGAGCACATCTTTGCTGACACCTTGATTTTTGCCCAGTGAACAGATGTGGAACCCCTGGCCTCCAGAACTATGAGAGAATAAATTCCTCTTGTTTTAGCCAAACATATATATGTGTGTGTGTGTGTGTGTGTGTGTGTGTATATATATATATATATATATATATATATATATATATATATATATATATAAAATATATAAATATATATATAAATCTATATATAAAAATATATATATATGTAATGTGTGTGTGTGTGTATTTTTTTCAAAGTCCTGTATTCTGGATCCCTTTCTGTTGTTTTTATTTCTCTTTATTTCAGTCATACAGAGTCTGCAATTCCTTATTCCCCTCCTTAGTCTCTGCTGCCAAGGGTTAAATAATTTTTTAAAAATATTTAAAAAGCTGTAATAAAATAACATCAAAGGAAATGGGAAAAAGGATTGGGGGGTCAGGAATCATGAAGGATGGTAGAGAAGCGAGCCTCTTCTCCTCACCCGCTTTACCCCCGTGCTTGGATTCCAACCTGGGCGGTAAGGAGAACTACCCCACATCTCTAGGTACATCCCAGTTGTAGGTGAGGTCAGAGGTCAAGGTATGAAGGTACCTGTGTGTGAATGGGAAGGTGGACAGTGTGCATTCTGTTTTCACTTTTTTGTGTATGGTTTATTGTCATATGATCTTATATTTTGGCATCCCTAATACTTTTTGAAAACTAAAGGGTTTTTCTCTACTTTTCTTTATTTTCATAACTGATTCAATACAGAATTGAAATGTTCTGTAACAAAAAATGTAAAATCTTAAATCTTGTCTCTGCTCAATAAGGTAACTATTCTTTCTTTCAAAAGAACTGGTGAAAGGAGATAAATGAGGAAACTGGCTTAATTTGGAGGCATACTAGTTAGTGTACCTTTTCTCATTGCCCCTGCTGCATTTGCCCTTGGCTATTCAGACTTCAGTGCTATGTAGTGCTATGTTTACTGTTGGATATTGCACATAAAATAGTTTAGAGGCCCCAGATGATATTATTTTCTTCTGTACAGGGTTTAGCTTTTCTCTTCCTGGGAAGATAGACTGGGAACAGATTGGCAAAGGGCCCAAGTGGGTTCAGGATGGGTTGTAGTTTTCATAGAGGTCAGTCTACCTCTGATTGCTGCCCTTCCTGTCTCAAGCTATAACCCTTTAGAGCTTCCAAGCAAGAGCCAGGTATATTCATTGGGATTTCCCCCCTGGTAGATCCTAAACTCTAACCTTTGTGTCTCCACAAGACCTCTCAATTACAGTTTGGGGTCCATTTTTGACAAAGCTCTATCACTTTTTGTTAGCATTGCTTTTAGGAGCAGTCTTTCAAGAGTTCCCACAGAGATCCTGGGGTATTCACTGAGACTTTGTCTCACTGGTAGGCCCTGAATTCCAATTAATTTCTCCTTGTATTATGAACTTTCTAAATCTTGTTTTTCATTGCCTTTCTGCTTGACTTTTTATCCTCTTATTCCCTACAGTTTAAGGATTTATCAGAAGTTTTGAGGGAATATTGGCAGAATGTTAGGCCAGGTTCTGGGCCTACCTTTCCCCAGATTCTGGCCTTTCCAGTCTGTTATTTTTCTCTCTCTATCCTCAAGAGATTGGCGGAAATGATGCTTTTTTTTTTTTTTGCCACTTAATAGCAGCTCTCAATCTGGGCTCTTTGCCCAGATCCTTCTTCTCTTGCCCTGTGCCAGAATTGATAAATATATTGAGGAAAATGGCTTCAGAATGTTGGCTTACTTCACTTCTGTTCCCTCTTCTTTAGGACTTTGGCCCTTCAAGGCCTGGTCAGTTTAGCAATTCTTTGATGCTTTCAATTTTTTTCCCCCATTTTCTTTTTATCAGCCTACTTTAGTTGTTCACTGTAGAAGTGTTGGTCTTTAGCAAGCTATTCCATTTAGGCCAGAAATAGATGTTACATATAATTGTAAGTGTACTATATTATGATATTGAGGACTGGTTGATATTTATTCATGAGATTAGGCTTTATTTATTAAGACATTAGTCTTGAGTAGGATTTGGGATGGTTGGAGCCTTTTAAATAAAATTAAGCATAACAATGGTGAGGAGAGACAGGGAAGACAAGCAAAAAGTTGAGATGCCCTAGCAGCAGTTCCTGCTGAGGTTATGATTAGTTTTGAGGCATTGATGTCATGGACCTAGTCATTCTTTAGGTATAGATTGATGGAATAAAGAAATATTATTTTGACTTATCTTCAGATGCTTAATGTTAATATTTGTTTTTTAGAGCATAGTTGGAAATGTAGAAAGGGTTTGTCAAGGACAGAGGAAATGTTCTAGTTTTATTTCTGTTGTATTGAGATGGTGAGTTTGAGGCAGCCTACCTCAGTGGATCTGACATGGTTGAGAGAAGTGCAATAAGAAAAATCAGTTGAAGCGTTAAGGATGTGATATGAGATTTTTGAATCACTCATTTTTTTACCCTGCTAATAATATTTATGGACTTCCTATAATGTAAAGCACTAAGGATACATAAGGCAAGACTTAAGATTCCTCATGGGCCAGGTGTGGTGGCTCACACCTGTAATCCCAGTACTTTGGGGGGCTGAGGTGGGGCAGATCACTTGAGCTCAGGAGTTTGAGACCAACCTGGGCAACATGGTGAAACCCCGTGTCTACAAAATACAAAAATAAATAAATAAATAAATTAGGTGTGGTGGTACGCACCTAGCTTCTCGGGAGGCTGAGGTGGGAGGATCACTTGAGCCTGGGTAGGTCGAGGCTGCAGGGAGCTGAGATCACACCACTGCACTTCAGTCTAGGTGACAGTGAGACCCTGTCAACAAGAGCAACAACAATAAAGATTCCTCATGGAACTTATATCTAGTGGAAGAGTCAGAATTTAGGTAGTTGATCATAGTAATACTGAATTATGACCACGATAAGAAGGGTAGAGTATAATTATAGGATTCTTGAGAGTTATAAGAGAAATAGTCAAGTATATAAAATATGGAGTAAGTGTTTTGTGAGCTAAATAGAAAGTGTTGTCTTTTGCTTTGTATTATACCCATTGTTCTAATGTAGGAGAAAAAGGAACAGATTTCTAACTTCGATAATAGATGAAAGCCAAAAATAAGGATATGAATATCTCTATCATATGTCACTTATCACAATATAATTGCCTCCTTTTTTCACTAAGATTGTTACATACTGGGACTGTTGTTTATGAAGTTTCTGTTGTGTGCCACTGACTGTGCTAGGTGCTTCATGTATTCTTATTTAATTTCTCAGGATAAATTTTAGGATAAATATTTTTATTTCCAACTTTTTCTATAAAACAAGTGTATATAGACAGGGCTGGGTACATAACACCACTCAGGCATTCTGTGTGAATGATGCTCCCTAGAGTTGTCCCATAGGGCAGCTCCGATATGGAGCCTTTAATAAATTCTCCCCAACTACCTGGAGATAGTCACACATTGAGGGTGAAACTAATAAAAAGTATCTTACCACGAATAAAATGGACGATTTGCAAAATTAACACACCCTTGGAGAGTTTCAAAATCTGTTGCGTAGATTTGTGAAAGATTATAGTTTAATTATAGTTACTAAGGTGGATGAATGACTTTTTTTCCCTCTCTTTTTTTTTTTTTTTCTTTTTTAAGAGACAAGGTTTTGCTGTATTGCCCAGGCGAGTCTCACACTCCTGGGCTGAAATGATTCTCCTGCCTCAGCCTCCCAAAATGCTGGGATTAACAGGTGTTCGCTGCCATGCCTGGCCTAGGATGAATAAATGACTTTCGATTTAGCTGCTGTTACTTAATCATTTGTTTTATACTGTTTAAAAATAAAGAATGTTTTAGCAGAAGAGAAGTGGTGTGCATGGATTGTGAGAAGCCAAAGAAGATAATTCTGTTTGTGTTAATCCATTACTGTCTGGTAGAGTGACAAAACCTATCAACTTTATTTTTATGGCTTAACTCTTAAATTAGGTCTGGTACACACATACACTGATAAAATTGGGTTTCAGGACCTGCTGATCTAAAGCTGAGACCTGAACTGTGCTGTCCACATACTAGAATTGCTACTGTTTAAGGCCCCGCCTGAGGAGCTGGCTAAATTCTTAATTTAAATTATCTTTTGAAATGACACACACAATGATTTGCATGACAGATTGATTTAAATGTATTTACAGAATCTTAATGATTTCTAGACTCTGTCAATAAGTCTGTATTTTCCTTACACTCTAAATAATAATCTTGTAGATTTGTCAGTATAATCATAAAATCTGATACAGAAAAATCCTTGTTAGATAATGCTGGCCTTGCTGTGTTTTTAAATTACATATTTGGTATTTCTAATCAACTCTATAGGATTAGACATTATACAAATTCTAAGTTGGAAAAGAAAAAGAAATATTTAAAATAAGATGAAAGCTTCCCTTTCTTTCCTTAGAAAGAAATATGGAAATAATATTGAGAATTAGTAGTTGACCTTAAGTTTGATTGCTATTGTTATAATTTCTGTTCTTATTTCAATTTCTATAAAAACACAGTCAAAACAGCAACTTCCCCAAAGGTTAACGTGAAGATGGTATGACAGGTCTGGGTTATTTTGGGTGTAACACTGGCTCACAAAGGTAAGTGATACAAAATGATGTCTTGGTGGGTTTCTGTTAACTTCTGCCCATGTTGTTTTACAGAATGGCCTATTAAAAAAATAAGAATTAAACAGTCCTTTGTGTTTAACAAGATTTTCTGTTTGGTATTAAGAGTATCCTAGAGTTGAAAGTACCAAATACTTTTGCTTTGAGTAGCTTATCATGCATACCATTTTGCCTAGGACAGCCCTAATTTATGCTTTTTGTTTTGGCCCCTGTCAGTCTCAAATATGTCCCAGTTTGGAAGAAATACATATCACTTTATGATATGGTTTGGTTCTGTATCCCCTGTGTCCCCACCCAAATCTCATCTTGAGTTGTACTCCCACAATTCCCATGTGTTGCAGGAGGGACCCGGTGGAAGATAATTTAATCACGGGGGCAGTTTCCCCCATACTGTTCTCATGGTAATGAATAAGTCTTAGGAGATCTGATGGTTTTATCAGGGGTTTCTGCTTTTGCATCTTCCTCATTCTCTCTTTGCCTGCTGCCATCCATGTAAGATGGGACTTGCTCCTCTTTGCCTTCCACCATGATTGTGAGGCTTCCCCAGCCATGTGGAACTGTAAGTCCAATTAAACCTCTTTCTTTTGTAAATTGCCCAATCTTGGGTATGTCTTTATCAGCAGCATGAAAACAGACTAATACAGTAAATTGGTACCAGTAGAGTGGGGCATTGCTGAGAAGATACCTGAAAATGTGGAAGCGACTTTGGAACTGGGTAGCAGGCAGAGGTTGGAACGGTTTGGAAGGCTCAGAAGATAGGAAAATGTGGGAGAGTTTGGAACTTCCTAGAGACTAGTTGCTTGGCTTTGCCCAAAATGCTGATGGTGATATGGACAGTAAGGTCCAGGCTGAGGTGGTCTCAGATGGAGGTGAGGAATTTGTTGGGAACTGGAGCAAAGGTTACTCTTGTTATGTTTTAGCAAAGAGGCTGGTGGTATTTTGCCCCTGCCCTAGAGATATGTGGAACTATGAACTTGAGAGAGATGATTTAGGGTATCTGGTGGAAGAAATTTCTAAGCAGCAAAACATTGAAGAGGTGACTTGGGTGCTATTAAAAGCATTTAGTTTTAAAAGGGAAACAGCATAAAATAAAAGTTCAAAAAATTTGCAGCCTGACAATGTGATAGAAAAGAAAATCCCGTTTTCTGAGCAGAAATTCAAGCCAGCTGCAGAAATTTGCATAAGTAACAAGGAGCCAAATGTTAGTCCCCAAGATAATGGGGAAAATGTCTCCAGGGCATGCCAGAGGTCTTCACGGCAGCCACTCACATAACAGCCCTGGAGGTGTAGGAGGAAAAAGTGGGCACAGGGTCCCAGCACTGTGTGCAGGCTAGGGACTTGGTTCCCTGCATCCCAGCTGCTCCAGCTGTGGCTGAAAAGGGCCAGTGTAGAGCTTGGGCCGTGGCTGCAGAGGGTGCAAACCCCAAGCCTTGGCAGCTTCCACATGTTGTTGAGCCTGTGGGTGCACAGAAGTCCAGAACTGAGGTTTCAGAACCTCCGCCTAGATTTCAGAAGATGTATGGAAATTCCTGGATGCCCAGGCAGAAGTTTGCTGCAGGGGTGGGGCCCTCATGGAGAACCTCTGTTAGGACAATGCGGAAGGGAAGTGTGGGATTGGAGTCCCCACACAGAGTCCCTACTGAGGCACCGCCTAGTGTAGCTGTGAGAAGAGGGCCACCATCTTCCAGACCCCAGAATGGTAGATCCACTGACAGCTTGCACACTGTGCCTGGAAAAGCCACAGGCACTCAACACCAGCCCATGAACTCAGCCGGGTGGGGGTGCCATACCCTGCAAAATCACAGGGGTCTAGCTCCCCAAGGTCATGGGAACTCAACTCTTGTATCAGCATGATCTGGATGTGAGACATGGAGTCAAAGGAGATCATTTTGGAGCTTTAAGATTTGATTGCCCTGCTGGATTTTGGACTTGCATGGGGCCTGTAGCTCCTTTGTTTTGGCCAATTCCTCCCATTTGGAATGGCTGTATTTATCGAATGCCTATACCCCTGTTGTATCTAGGAAGTAACTAACTTGCTTTTGATTTTATTAGGCTCATCGGTGGAAGAGACTTGCCTTGTCTTAGATGAGACTTTGGACTGTGGACTTTTGAGTTAATGATGAAATAAGTTAAGACTTTGGGGGGCCTGTTGGGAAGGCATGATTGGTTTTGAAATGTGAGGACATTTGGGGAGGGGTCAGGGGTAGAATGATATGGTTTGACTCTGTGTCCCTACCCAAGTCTCATCTTGAATTGTACTCCCACAGTTCTCATGTGTTGTGGGAGGGCGGTTTCCCCCATATTGTTCTCATGGTAATGAATAAGTGTCATGAGATGTGATGGTTTTATTGGGTTTCTGCTTTTGCATCTTCCTTATTCTGTCTTTGCTGCCATCCGTGTAAGATGGGACTTGTTCCTCCTTGCATTGCACCATGATTGTGAGCCTTCCCCAGCCACATGGAACTGTGAGTCCAATTAAGCCTTTTTCTTTTGTAAATTGCCAAGTCTTGGGTGTGTCTTAGCAGCATGAAAACAGACTAATACACTTTATAAGATACATTTATTGTAATAATCATATGTTCCTAGATAATTCAGAAGTTAAATGGTTCTAGTAGAAATGTGCTGATACTTTTGTCCTTTTTAAACAATATATTATTTATCATTTAGAGTCTAGAGTGAGTACACTTCAACTAGTTGAACTTTTCAAGTTTGTCTTGGGAAAGAGCTAACTGAGTTTTACTAAATCTGATGTGCGAACTGGGAGATTGTCAACATATATTGGTAGGTTTTTGATTAAGCCCACTATCTTAGAAGCTGATTAATGGTGATATTTTGTATAATTGTTAATGCATTTGAAGATTTTTAACATATTGGGGAAATGGAGATCCTTGTTCATACTAAATTCATTCCAATAATTATACCAGAGCTTTAATTCTTGCTTATCTGCTGTGTGATCTTGGGCAAACTTAATCTCTTTAAGTCACATTTTTTCATTTTTTAAAGGAAGCTAATAATGCCTAATAATAAAGATTTCAAAGAGGCATGTTATGTGACTCATATAGTTCCTAGTGTAAAGTAGGTGTATCAAGTTGTTGAGATACTAGTTCAACTGACTGTCAGACTGCCTCTGAGTTTTATAGTACTTAATTAGTGTTATGACTTAATTACAACCAATAATGATAATTTTTTGTAAAACATAATAGCATAGACATTAACCAGTATGGTTTTCAGTTAAACTGAAAACCTTTATAAATAGGATGATTTTTCTTCATACATAAATCCATGTCATTGAATAACTGCAAATTATCTAGTAGTAAAAAAAAAATCATGTTTTTCTAGGTTGGTAATATGCTTAACAGTATTTAATTAAAACAGTTTGCTTTCAGCTATTGTTTGAAACTTACACATGAATCAGTAAATGTGAACCAGTCTGACAACATCCTCTACATTGTCATATATACATGGAACATGGTACACTGACACATACATAGGAATATAAAGCTTTCATATTCCTTATTAAAAAGTTTATTATGTGTTTGGCAAGCTAAAACTTACATGAAAAGGAGCAATGTGAGTTTGGAGGAATTTGAAGCATTTTGGGCTACAAATAATTTAGGAGAGTTCTTAGAGGAGATGAATGTTGGGATAAGCTTTGAAGGAATATACAGAGCCTTTAAAGGGAAGGAATGGTGAAGGCAAGGTTGTAGCAATAGAAATGTGCAATTTATTTTTTGACTTTGGAGTAGATCAGTGGCTCACATAAGGGGATTAACATATTAGGGCTAAACAGAGGGGTCTTGACTACGAGGCTAATGATTCTCTATATGCAGGTGATAGGGACTCATTGAATATTTTTGAGCAAGGGATTGATATGATTAAAAATGTATTTAGGAAGATTAGACACAGAAGGCAGAATGGATTGGTGTACAGAGACGAAGTAAAGACACGCATTAGGAAGATTGTTTCTAGTAATCCAGATATGAAGTAGTTAATGCTTAAACTTGAGAGTGGCAATAAAAGTGGAAACTTGGATGCTTTATTCAAACATGAAGGTCTTCAGTCTGTCTTTTGAAGCAGTCTGCCTGTTGATGTTAATACTACTTAAATGCATCTAGATGGCTAAAGAAAATAAAAGCTAAATAACTTAAACTCTTGGTCAATATAAGTGCAGTATTTTATGAGCTATGTAAAACACATTTCTTCTACTTTGTTTTACTTGTTGACATTCAGCTATTAACAGGGACAACAACAAAAACATCCCTGAAGCTTTATTATTAACAAACATTTTAAATGTTTAAAAAATTTAACTTATAAAGAAATATAGCAAATGATAAATACAAAGTGGAGTGCCAAAAGTAAAATATTTTATTTCTTTAGATTTTATACTTCAGTTTTATATTTGCTTTGTCAATTTTAGAATATGCTTAGCTTAGTGATAATATCTAAACTCCTTCTAAATACAAATCTTAATTCTTATTTTGTGGGCTTATTGCTAGCATTTTATTTAAAAATTTGAGCTTTCCAATGATGATTGTTTCCTAAATCATTATTTGAATGATTTATATTTTATTTAAGTGAATGAAAGTTATTTATTTCCTGTTGTCTAAAGTGAGACGTCCAACTTAACATAGACTTAAAAAAAATTTAGTGACATGGTCTCTGTCTTTCACCAAGGCCAGAGTGCAGTGGTGCCATCATAGCTCACTGCAACCTCAAACTTTTCAGCTCAAGCAAACCTTCTGCCTCAGTTTCCTGAATAGCTGGAACTACAGGTGCACGCCACCATGACGAGTTAGTTTTAAAAAGATTTTTGTAAAGATGAGGTCTCACTGTGTCGCCCAGGCTGGTCTTGAACTCTTGGGCTCAAGTAATCCTCCCCTCAGCTTCCCAGAGTGCTGGGATTATAGGCATGAGTCATTATGCCCGACATGAAACAGACTTCCTTAGACAAACTGATTTGATACCACTTGTAAGAGTTTATCACTCTTTTTTTCCTTTAAGATCTCTTCCATACACCAAACACCAAGATATTTTTTTCTGTCATAAATTGATACAAATAGTCTCTATTAGTTATATCATAGGCTAGGCCACTATTAACAAAGAGAAATGTAAATCCTCAGTAGTTGAAACAAGGTAGAATTTTATTCATCTCTCATTTAACAATTCAGAGGTAGGCAGATGGTCAAGAGTGGGTTGGTGCCTCTCTTCACAAGGACATTCAAGAATCCAGGTTTCTTTTGTTTCTCAGCCATCCGCTGTGACTGCATTGTTCAGTAGCCATGTGTGGCTATTGACATTTACATTTAAATTAACTTAACTAAAAAACCCACTAGCCACATTTTGAGTCCCTCATAGACACGTGGCTGGTGGCTACCGTTTTAAACAGTGCAGATATGTCATACCTTCATCATCACAGAGTGTTGTGTTGGTTACTGCTTTATAGAGTGTTGTTCCTGTCCTCATGATCTTTGCTAGCTCATATTGGCCTGTCCAAATTGTAGTCTACAGGAAAGGAGAGTAAGAGGAGGGAAGAGAGGAAAGCATAGTTCTGTTATAAATGAACCCCCAAAAGCACACATCACTTGTGCTTGTAGTCCACTGGCCAAAATGTAGTTATATGCCAACACCTCCTTGCAAGGGCAGCTAGGACAAGTCACTAGCTGGGTGAAGTGGATCCTGCTAAAACTTGGTTTTATTGAGAGTTGAGTGGGGGCAGGGATCCTATTACCAAACTGGAGAAGGTAAGTTAAATACTAGAGGGCAATTGACAATCAAGGTCGCATATACTCAACCTATTAATAATCACAGTAAGGTTTCTTTCTGTGCCCCAAACAAAGTGACCAGGAAGCAGCATGGGTAAAATGTACCTTGATTTTAAATGGCCATGCTGATATTAATCTGAAAGTATAAATGTTTTTTACTGCTTTATTTAAATTGCGTCTTAAAGTTTAACAAAATCAACCTCATGGCCATTTTGGCTTACAGGCCATATTTTTGAGCGTGGCACTTTTTCTGTAGTGTATTACCTCTCTGACTTACATTGTGGGATGATGATAATTTTATGTTATGTGATTACAAACAAAGAACTAAAGAGCTTTTATTTCTGTGTTATTTTATAGATGTTAAAAAATGATTTTAAACATTGTGATGGTGAGCAACAATGTGAAGTACAGAAAGTAGTAGGTGGTGATGTAGTTTTTTCTTCCACCCCTCTTAAACGTGCATGCCTTCTCTCTCCCTCTTTATATTCATCATGGTTATGAACTATTTAAGGCTTATAAAGAAAAGCAGTCTCCCATATTATTTTCTATCCCCAGTCTTATTCTTTGAGACAAATACTTTGAAATATTCATGTTTACAACTTCCATGTTTCTAAATAATCTGCCTACATGCAATATTTCTTTATTTTTTAGGAATTATGAACTGATTAATGAAAAAGAATTTAGCTAATGTATTATTTCTCTTTTGCTTTTCTTTTTTATTTTTCCATTAGCTTTACTGTTTCTTAAACCTCTTTCACGTCCATTCAATTAAAGATGGTATCTCTTGACTTTCAAATTAGCAATTACAGATTTTATTGTTTCTAATTTTCCATTCTGGTATCTTTCCCATTTCTACTTCCCAATTTTTGTCAATTCTTCATTTTAAATTGTAGTAGTCAAATATATTTACATTAGTCTCTATAACTATAATTAAGTCTTTTAGCATTGCGTATTCTTGGATTCTAAAAATTGTAACTAGTAACAGTTTAATTTTTTACGACTACATAAATATTTTTAACTGAAAAGTTAGTGGCAGAGTAATTACCATTTTTAATGCAGTTTTATTGTTTATAATTTGGTTTAAAGTTTCTTCTTCCCCCTTTTATCATGCACTTAAAAATTCCCATAATTTCTGCCAGTATATCAGTCATACTCTCTATCCTGAACACTGCATTTTTGCCAGCTGTTTCTGCCTGGAGTCCTTGTTCTCTCTTCTTTTCTGTTTTATCAGCCAGTGCTCTTTTAACTACTCTACATTTTCCTAAAAGTTGTTGAAGTTTGCTTCAATTAATACTATTCCTTCTTCTTTTTTTGTAACTGTAGGTTTATACCTTTGAAACATTTTTTAAATGATTAATTTTTCTGGAAGTAGAGAATATAAATGCATGTGCTTAACATCTTGAATCTGAAGTGTGGGAGTTTTAAGAGTCAGGTATTGATATATCTGAACTTCAGAGTCATATGGTAAAACGTGATAAAGACATTCTAATTTTTTTTGGAGGTGAAGCATTTACAGATATAGCTGAAAGAAAATATAGTCATTGTTATTTTTATGTGTATAAAACACTTTCTAGAATAGTTTTGTTTTCTAAGACCCTAGACTTTCTACAGATTATGATAAAATTTCCATTGTATTATTGAAGATAGATATCTTCAGATTTAGACATATTTTCATTACAGTGTTTCACAACTTCATTGTGCATTTCTTGAAATTAGCCCATGTTATCATTATATAGTACCTGGTCAGTATCTAAATGGCATATAGTGATATTAAAAAATATATTTCCTAAGTTAGGAGGCTTATATTCTGAACTCCAATGGGTCTTACTATCAGCCTGGGTGATAAGTTTTGCAATACTCTTAGACTACTTTTTATCTTTATAAGAGAATAGCATTGTAAAAATGTCAAAAATATCCATATGCCCAGTTCACTAGTAAATATACTGCTAAATTTGAACCTTTTTGGCAGTAGCTTATGCTACTCAAGGGACCGTATTTTTACAGAATTATATATTTCAAAGGATATTGGTTTCCATTGTAGAAAATTCATGCATTTAGGGTAACTTAAAGCCAAAGCAGTTGTGCTTGTGCTATATGTTTAGAATATTAGTCATCTTGAATACATGCATAGGTTAAGTGTCAGAAGCTATATATCGTGCAGAAAGAAAATTTATTGTTAGGAGACCAGGCTGTACCTGTGCTTATACAGCATTTTCCTTAGAGGATCAATTTGAGTATATGAACAAATACCAGCTAGATTTTTGTACGGTAACATTATTGATAATATAGGAGAAGTTCATTGAGGAGAAAAACAAAGGGAGCATTAAAGTCTCATACTGTATGAAACTACAGAAATGGATCAAAGAGTTTGACAGGAAGTTTAATGTGTACATAAGTAGAGGCTGACAGGAACATGCTGTGTGTGCCAAAGGTTCCAGTGATGGAAAACTGAAACATAGTGCTCACTGACCACAGCATGAGCCTTGACACACATTGTAAATAATCCAGAGATATATGACTGCATTAAGTGCTAGGCTGGTATATGAACGGCAGTAAATCTATAGCAGCAGAAAGGGTTGGCATGCAGAAATTGCTCTGATTTTTATAATGGATTAATAGGAATATAGCAAATATTTTCATTTCAAATTCAACCATCTCCAGTTCCCCTCTCCAGCTCTCCCCGGTGTGATCATTTTTTATTCTCCTCTGCTCACCAGACTTGTGTATGCGGATACCTGCTTCAGTACCATCAAGTTAAAAGCAGAAGATGCTTCTGGTAGAGAGCATTTAATCACTCTCAAGTTGAAGGCAAAGGTATGTGCCTCGTTAAACTGTTATTGTGATCAGAAAATACTTTGTGAAATGAACTCTGTGAATGCTCTCAATGTAAAGAAGTGCTAGTTACATCTAAAAATACATATATCATGCTTTAAAACATTGATTTTGGAAAGCCTCAAAGAATTTATTCACCACGTTTCCAAAAGCCTAGACAGTTTTATGTCATATTTTAGTCCAAATTTGCTCAAAATACAGACTTTATAACAAATACTACAGTTACAATTTTATAGACTCAGAGTACCATGGTGTTAATTTTGTAACATCCTACATGTAACATGTAGAAGACAGTGGACACTTCCACTATCCCAAGTTGTACTGAGAAAATCTTTTGCATTCAGCTGTTACTATAAATTTCTTTTGTAGTTCTTATTCTTATCTGTGATCCCCACTCCCTAACACAAACAACATATATGCATACTTTTTTATAGTTTGTTTGCTTTGGCTGGGGTTTTTTAAGTATTTTAAGAATTTGCAGAGGTTATGCCTCTATTTATAGATCCCTTATAGGATAGTGATCTATAATCACAAATTTTATTGGCACAAAACATGGTTGTTTCATCTTTATTTTTTAGTTCTAAATTGTGAATTTGGACAAATAAGTAAAATAAACAAGTTTAGCATATTAATCATTTACCTAGTAATCACTGGAGAAACATGAGAATTTGAAGAAAACCAGGATGTCCAACTTTTTTTTTTTAATTATTCTTGGAGTCAATCAATCAACTCTTTTTCAGAAGATTGTAGTGATGAAAAGATCAATTGTGTTTGTCCTTTTTAAAAATGTGTCTGGCATTTAAGCTTTCCACAAGAGAAAATTAATATCTAAAGCTGTACTGGATGACACAGAAAAGTTGATATCTTATAGTGGTTCTATAACAGACAGGTTGAGAAATGACTAATTCTCTCACACACAGAATATGTATGTAGGTCTAATTTTAAGATCCATATGTGATAAGTCTTGGAAAAAATTAGTGGGATGGAAATCTCATTATTTGTAAAATAAGTTAGATAATTATTTTTATTAAATTGAAAAGATTTTTATTTTTTAGTTTGTAAAAGTGTGCTTTTTTTTTTTTTTTAAGAGAAATTTGCCTTTATCCTTCCAAAGGGTCACATGTTGCCAGTGGCAAGGGTTCTGTCATTTCCTTCAAAGCTCTATTTGTTTATATTTTGTACCTTAGTAAAATTAGCCGTTTTTCTATGAAGACCAAAACTAAAGATTTTAAATACACCCTGTCCTCATTTTTACAAGCTCTTCTACTTCCTAAGAAGATGTTGCTGTAAATTTGTGCTGCCTTTAACTATACCTACAAGATTTTAATCCAAGTTGATGACATTTAGTTCATTTATTGGCAGTATTCAGAGTGAGGTTGTGACAATTTAATATGGTCCATTTTGTCTGCTTTTTTCTATACTTTTTCAAGGTAGATAAGATGATGCTTTTAGTATTTCTCTGGAGAATATTTTCCAGGGTCAGTTTTGCAACATCTGTAGTTACGAAGCACTTTTATAGATATTCTTGCAAAAGAGAAGAGAAAGCTTTATTTAAGCTGGGAAGGAATTTGGCAAAAAAAGAAAAAAAAAACTGTTTTGGAAAAACAAAAGCATGTAACTGAATCTTATGTTGGTATGATTTATTAGAATCTTTATTTCTCAATTTAGCTTAGCTTTCATATATACACCATAGCTGTCTTTGAGATGTGATAATTTTTTTTTTTAGGAAAAAAAAGTTAGTTCTAGATTGTGAATTTGGACAAATAAGTAGAATAAACAAGTTCAGCATATTAATCATTTACCTAGTAATCACTGGGGAAACATGAGAATTTGAAGAAAACCAGGAAGTCTTTTTTTTTTTTTTTTTTTTTTAGGAAAAAGGTATAGGTATATATAAAACCACCAGCAACTAATTGTCAAACTTTTACTTTCAAAAGTAATTTACAACAACAAAAACTCCACATATAGGAATATTAACTGAAAAATATTTTAGGAAACAAAAATTTTAGGGAAAAAAAAAGAAATTGGGCCTGCGATTGTCAGTCAACTACACTAATAGTTGAAACGTTAACTGTATGTTAAGAGTATATTATGCAAAATCTTAATCCAAACTAAGTTTTAAGTGGAATGCTGAATTTTTTTTATTAATAACATACCTCAAAGTAGGCTTTTTTCATAAATACACAAACCTTTATTTCTGTTACTTGATTTTTTAAATATACAGTAAATAAATGCATTTGTTCTATTTATTCTGGAATACATACTTTCCCAATTCTACCACTTCCCCTCACGATCTCCAAGAAACTCACAAAGAAAACAAATACCTATTTTGACTAGATGTCCTTTATTAAAAGTAAATATGTAAATAATAAATAAGTAGAAGTAAACCAGATAAATTTTTTGGTTTTTATAGGTATATTTTTATGCAATGCTTACAGTGCATTCAGTACTGAATTACCTTTGCTTTACAAAAGTAGCAGCCCAGGGCTTCCTCAGCTTTGGTCAATCAAGATCAGTACTACTTGAAAAACAAATTACATATATGCATCAGAGGGTGGGCACTCTTTCTCTGCTGCAATTTGTATGTATTTACTTGGGGATCAGCCTTACTGCTTAGGTAGTCTAGTCACAGAACAGACTTGGTTAAAATTTGTTTTAGAATATATTAATATTATAGAGTCTAAAAAATACTGTGTGTGATAAAAATATATACTTAATATTATGTAATCTTTTTTTTTAGTTATTGATTTGATTTTCTGCAAATGAGATTTGGAGAACTATGTTTTACTTGAAAATAATTAAATACTATACTTATTTTTCAGTTAATATTCCTATATGATATGGAGCTTTTGTTGTTGTAAATTACTTTTGAAAGGAAAAGTTTTGACAATTAGTTGTCAGTGGTTTTATATATACCTATACAACTTATTATTGAAAAGTATCTTAATTTTGATCAAGTTACTTTCTTATATTGTATTTAGTCATCTACACTGTAGTTAATACTATTATAATTCAGAAGCTATTCTGAAAATGAATATCTAGTATGCTAGTTTATATTTTAATATTTATGATAAATCATCCAGACTTACATAAATGTTCTTTTTAAGCTCTGTACTGTTATGTGAGGTTTGTTATATAAACAAAATTGATTTTGCACATGAATGTAATTAACACATATTGCAAATACTCATTTAACTCAGATATGAAGTAAAGCCACTTGCATAAAGATCAGTCTAATTTATTATATACATATTGTATTACAAATATAAAAATATATTTGAAAGATGTCATTATCTCAGAAACTACATACTGGACTCATTTATATATGTAGGATCATATATTTACTCTAACTTGCTTTTTTGTTTAACTGTTTGTGGATCTCTTTCCATATCAGGACATTGATACCATTTACTATACTGAATCCTACTTGAATGTAGTATCTTACTCTCTTTTAGCATAATGAGCTGTGTATGTACTTAATGGGGCCACAGATACTTTACTTTGTGTATCTACTCCAAATACAGTAAACATTTCATTAGTCTTATTTTATCTACATTGATGATTCATTGAAGTTAGAGAGTTGATATTGTTCATTGTCAGCATCACTAAGATAAATAGCAACTCAAAATGAACTAAATTTTCCATTTTTGACCCACAGAGGTTTCAAGTGCACATTATTTTTAAAGAATTTTGACATTTTAGAAGGAAAAGAGATTTTGTAACACTTCTAGTTGAGTTTTGTCATTTTTACATGTGAAACAGCCAGAGAAATTAAATGACTTGTTCAGGATCATACAACTTAGTTAGCAGAGCTGGAACCAAAGAAAGCTGAGGTCTCTGTCTACATTTACTTTGAGATAATCACGATTTTTAAATATGGCATACAAATTGTTTTTCCAGTGATTACAGCAATGATACTCTGAAGCACATCATCTGATATTTTTAATTGTCTGAAATAGAACTTCCTCTTTTAATTTCAGCATGATATTTTTTTCTTTTTTTTTTTTTCCAGAAGTAGACCACTGGAATATTTTTATATGATTTCTTATCTATTTGCCTTTGTGTTAATTAGTTCTACATAGCCAGATTCCATTAGTCAGAGTGTATATTGATAGTAAATCTTTTTAGCCAACTTATTATTGTAGCTAAATGTTAATTTTTTTGAAAGTGTTGATTTCAAATGTTTGTTAAATACTGTAGTGATTTTTTTCTTCCCTTTTACTTACCCAGCAGAGTACTGAAAAATAAGAGGCTGAAAAAAGTGAAAGCCTAAAACTTCTTTTAATAATTTGTCAAATGAAAGATTTCCTAAAACTAATTTTCTTTCAGTACATTTAGCTTTTTAATGAAAAGAAATGGGTATTTTTAATTACATGTGACTTTGAAGAATCAGAATTGGATTATAGAGAAATCATTAAGTATGATTCTCTAATAAGGAAATTGATTTTAAGAAATTTTATCTTTTGCCTTTGTTAACTTAAAAACTTGGTTTGTCCTCATGACTGCCAGTTTTTATATGACTAGTTGAAGAAATAATTTTGTATTTAGCAATCTTTCAAAGGTTTTTCTTGCTAAAAACTGTTTTATTTTTTCTTAATAAGCCAGAAGATATTTCATTCTTTTTATCTTCTTGCTAAAATTAATATCTTTAATATAGAAAATAATTTTTTAAATTGACAGCTATATGTATTCATGTTTGTGTATTTCTTAATTCCTTTAACTGATACTGCCTATTTAAATAGTGACTGATGCTATTTGAAATTAAATTTAGGACTAGAAGAAAATTAAATATCAACTCATTTGATCTCTTATTTTAAAGATAAACAGAGATCCAGTTTGGTTCATTCCTCAAATCATAACTTCAGCAGCTGACACAACGCTGACTTAATTCATTACCTTTTACTCAACACCGATTGCTTTGGCACTTCCAAATCACCAAACTTGCACCTCCATAGGTTGACTATAAATAAGCTCTTCACATCACTATGAAAGTGGAGCAAAAATATTTATATGTAATACATTTTCAGTTATAATAATATGTTTTCCCCCAATATATCTCGTTTTTCTTTTTTTTTTTTTTTTTGAGATGGAGATTCACTCTGTCGCCCAGGCTGGAGTGCAGTGGCGCAGTCTCGGCTCACTGCCATCTCCGCCTCCCAGGTTCACGCCATTCTCCTGCCTCAGCCTCCCAAGTAGCTGGGACTACAGGCGCCCACCACAATGCCTGGCTAATTTTTTGTATTTTTTAGTAGAGGCGAGGTTTCACCGTATAGCCAGGATGATCTCGATCTCCTGACCTTGTGATCCGCCCGCCTCGGCCTCCCAAAGTGCTGGGATTACAGGCGTGAGCCACCGCGCCCGGCCCCTAATACATCTAGTTTTTCTAAAATACCTCAGTGATATTAACACACAGAAGCAAAAATGGTCTAATGTTATGCTTTTTTAATAGTATCCTGCAGAATCACCAGATTATTTTGTGGATTTTCCTGTTCCATTTTGTGCCTCCTGGACACCTCAGGTAAATTCTCCTCAGGTAAATTCTTAAATTTGTTTTAAGTAATTAAAAAGTACAGTTGTCCCAGAGTATCCATGGGGGGATTATTTCTTGGGCCCTCTGTAAATACCAAAATCCATGCATACCCAAATCTCTTATATAAATGGGACTTTGTTTATAGCCTGTGCACACTCTTCTGTATACTTTAAGTTATCTCTAGATTATAATACCTAATACAATGCATTTGCCATGTAAGTAGTTGTTATACTGTAAATAGTTATGTTATTTATTTATTTTTGAATATTTTCTGTCTGCAGTTGGTTGAATCTGCACATGTGGAATCCGTGGGTAGGGCCAACTGTAACTGTTTTTACTTAGGTAGTCATTATAGGTTATGAAGTAATCTTTGTTTTTTCAGTTTTCCTTAAGCATTTATTTATAAACACACCTTCTATAATGCTTCTTTTATATTTCCTTACAGTTAATGTCCATTTTCTTTCTCCCTCTCTACATGCACACACAAACACACCCACTCACACCCACACCCATGCATAAATACACACACACACACGCACACACACACACACACCATCCAGCCTGTAGATATTTATGCTTCATTTTCAGTAAACATGCAGAAGCACTTTTGACAGACATTTTCCTTTAAATTTAAATTCCAAAGAACTCTGTAGAAAGCAGTGAATGGTAACTGAAAAGTTGAGTGAAATGTTTTATATTGCTAAAACTTTTGACATTGATTACATAATATCAGAGAATCCTTTTCAGAGGAGAATGAATTATGACTGAAAACATAAACCTTGGCATTTCTACTCCATTTTTATTGTTTTAAAGTATTTGTCCTTAGTTCATCTTTAAACTTTGATTATATTCTTTTATTTTGTGCTTTAGAACATTCAATATTTTGAGTAAAGAATACAGAAGATTCTCCTGCTTCTGTCAGTTGAATTTCGCAGTACATTGATGATATTAGCAAGATAATGTTTTTTAGAAGTGCACTGTAAACTATAACATAGATATAAGGTGGTATGATTATCGGTAGTACTATCACCATTTCATGTGTGTGATTTTTAAGGATGTGGCACAATGTGATTAGTTAGGGCATAGTTCTTTCACCAAGTAAATTGTGGCAGTTGATAGCAAAATGGAGAGAACATTTTTATTCTTAGGCAAAGAGAAAAAACATTTCTAGTGACATTTTACAAATATTCCGTAAATGGAGGCTACTCATTTTGGCTATAAAATTTTGGTTAGATTTAAATAAAAAATTATGCTTGTATTTTAAAACATAAATACATGAGTAAAGTAAATATATAAGAAATTAGTAAAAAAATAAAAAGCCTAATAGGATTTAAATAGTCTTGTCAAGGCCAAAATGCCATTTTAATTATATATTGTATTTATCCAAAAATTATTTTTCTCATATCCTTTTATTGTTTTTTTTTTTAAAGTCCCAATCTCCCCACAATGGAAGTTGAGAAAACATAGCAAAATAGAGAAGAGAGAGCCTGTAATTTGCTTTTGGTATTTTGATGTATGCTATAAGTAAAATACTATGTTGATTTTTTTTTCTATTAAAGAATTGGAATTATGCATAAATTTTATAGCTTTCTTTTTTTATTTTAAAAAAATTTCATGAGACCCATGTCCCTTTTTTTAAAATACACATTTTCTATTTGGCTCTGGAAGTTCAATCTTGATGTTTTAAGTGAGATCATGAGAAAATATTATAGCTAGGTTGTGTTACTCTTTCCAGGTGTTATTTCTAAATTATACTTTAATATTTATCACAATTCCAAGGTTGAAAAATACACTGTTTATGAGTTTCTTTGTGTTTTAGATGTAGATAATTCTAGAAGTTTCCCCAGGCATTTATCTGTGGAAAAGTTTGCAATGCCATGAAAAGATTGTTTAGTACTTTATTTTGTTATTTAACAAAATCAGTTTGTGACTCTCTACTAGACTGGAAAGTCTTTGAAGGCAATTTCTTTTAAATTTTATATCCACATGCTCAGTGCCTTATTCATATAAGCATGGAATAAATATTATATTAATAATATTAATTCAAATTTAAGTTTCAGGTTTAATTGGGTCATACAAGTTTTGTTTTGTAGTAACTCTAAGAAAATGTAGAATTCGTAGTAATGAGTGTTATAAATTCTTAATTTGTGGAATATACTGAAATTCTAAGCAAAATACAGATAAATTAAAACAGCCTTTTATCACAACTCAGATTTGACAAATGTTAATATTTTGTCACTTTTGGTTCAGATACATCTATATTTCTCTTTGTCTTAAAAATAAAATGTTTTAAGAATAGCTAAGACCTGACCCCCTTTTCTGTCCCTCCTTCCCATCTTTCCTTTCTTTGCTTCTCTCCCTTTAAGTAGTAACTGTTTACCCAAAATTGGTATATAGGCCATCCGTGCATACTTTTTGCCATATTTGTTTATGCCATATTTGCAGTCTCTTTTTTTAACATTATATAATTTCAGTGATTTAGCCATAATCTTATGTTTGTCTACTATATTTATTTTAAATACTTTATATTATTCCATTATGTTAATCAGCAACTTGATTTATCTGTAGCACTACTGATAAGGTTATTCACAAATTCTGACAAACAGTGCTGCAGTGAACATCCTTCCATGTTTCCTTGTGCACATGTATGAGACTTTTAGTATGGGTTTTTCCTAGAAGTGAAAATGCTGGATTTCAGGCTATGTGCCTCTTTGGGGTTACGCAGTATTGACAAATTGCCTTCCCTAGATTGTTGTATAAGTTTATATTCCCATTCAGCAATGCATATTCTTTGCAAGCTTTAGTCTCATCTTAGTCTGACCTTCTTATAAGTTTATAGTTATTATTGTGTCCATAGCCTTAGCCTATATTTTTTTCCTTTTATTATAAACATTTTATCTATATTTTGATACTAATTTTTTGTTAGTTATATGGGATATAAATATCTCTGTGGCATGTCTTTTAACTTTGTATATATTTTGTCATACAGAGTTTAACTTTCAGTCTGGTCACATCCTTCTCTTGTGGTTTCTGTTGTGTTTCAAATAAAATCTTTCATATATTTTTCTGAAAAGATATTCTGCTATAGTTCAGAAAGGTATTTTTGCTATTTAAGTATTTAAGTATGAGATAGCCCCTATATTCTATATGCTTATACAATTTGAATGTGTCTTCTTCATTTGTGCGGGTTGGGGGCTGATTTCACAGTTTTTCTTTTACACATGCCATTAATATTTAGAAAGTTTAAAAAATATATCATTTACCTATAAGATTCTGGCTGTATATCATAAGGACTTTGGATGGTACCAGCAGTGTGAACTCTGAGTCTTTTAGACATGATAAGAGTGTTGATAGTTTATGTTTTGAAAATAAGAAGAAATGTGAGACTTCTTGTTATGTGTAATCTTTTTTAATTGGCTGGCTGAAAACAATTCTGCTTGTGGGAGTTTTTTTAAAACAATTTTTAAACAGTTGTCTCTCAAGCAATATAAATGTTACTGTTGTAGTTTAATAGCAGAGTTAGATTTAAGAGATGGTAAATAGATTTCAGATAATTGATTTTTTAAAAATCCCTTTCTGCTTTTGTGTATTTTCTCTTTGGAGTCAGTGTTTCTGGACTTTAAACTTGGAAGATCTTTATTTTTCTTTTTTTTTTGTGATATAATAGACATGGCTTTGTGGCATCCATATTAAAAATGGGTAATTTTCCTTATGGTCCCTGTCTTCCTGCTGGGTTGATAATGTTTTGATGTATTTTTCTTTTGCTCTGATGAGAGGTCTGCTGCTGCTGCTCTGACATATTCATTTGGATGAATAATTATAACTTGCACAATGTCAAGCTGAAGATGGTAGGGTTTTGTGCGTCATGACAAGCCTAGTAGCCAGTGCAGGTGTCTCACAGCATGATCAGCAACAGCCAGTGTATTCTGGCTCAGAGGAGACATTTAGAGTAGTAAGAAATCAGCACCAAGGGCAAGGCTGCTGCTACTATTGCTGCCATGATATGTGCCAAAGAAGCACAAAGTGCTTCTCAAAGACAAGTGTCTAAGCACCTCTTTCTAGATATTTGCTTTATTTGTTTGCTCAGTTAATCTTTTATAGATTTTAGCATAGACGATGAGAACATCTCATAATTTTATTCTACTTTCTAACATCACAAATGCTTCAAAATATATCCTTAATGCTTTAGAATTTTACATACAGGTCAGATGTGTAAATACTCTTGACTGAGACTGTAGAATGCCTAAATGTCAGATTTTAAGTGCACTGATATTATGATTATAAAAAAACGAAATTCCTTTTGTCCAGGTCACTGATCAAGCAAAAATGGATGTGAAAATTGCGGTTTTGCCTGTAAGTGTGCCACTAAGTGCAGGCTTGGTGAAGTATTCTTGCCATGGGCAGTTGGAATCCTCAGGTTCAGTGTGGTGTAGTAAATAGTGGTCTTTATATTTTTTTATCATGGAAATCTTACATTCTTGGAATAATGCCATGAATGCAAGAAGAGCAAAACTAATGATAAAGCCTCTGGCTGATAATCTGATGGTGAATGAAGAATTTGTAATTAAAGGAGTCAGTCCTATTACATAGCAGGGAGCATTATCCATTAGTTAGAGCAGTATACTAGCATTTGGGTATTCTAAGTTGTGTTTACAATTCAGTCATTAATTTAATTGTATTATTCAGACAAGTCACATAACTGCCCTTTGCCTCAGTTCGTATGTACTGTATATGGAAATGGTGAACCTTTTTTCTTTTCATGGATATGTAAAGAAAAATAAATCGAGTTTAAAACAAACACAGTGTTGGGGCAAATCCCCTAGTTTTTCACTGTAATAATCCTGTGGAAGTTCTTTTGACCAACTGGATTCTTTTTCTTTCCATTTTTTCCTCTGCTGTTTTTGTTGGAGGACTTACAGTAGTGGAATTTTATTCACTCTTAAATTGGTTAATTTCTTATGCTTTTTCTTTGTTGGCAGTCTTACTGTTGCCACAGTGGTATGGCTGAAAAGACATCAAAGGGATCAAAACAAAGAAAATTTATTATTGAGATTATGTGATATGGTAGAAAAAGTATAAGCGTAGCAGTCATTTGACCTATAGACTTAGTCACCTATCAGCTGCCTTTCTTTTATTTTTCTTTCTCGATAGCTAATTATTTATTTAAAAAGCAGCCTATATTGATTCTAAAAAAGAAGAGAAAGAGGAAAAATACAAGCAACTAAAATTAAAATGTAAAGTTACCATTAATGCTTTTATTTAGGCAGTAGTATTGAGGTGTCATTGTATAATTGTTTTGAAACTATGCTTGTCACTTAACAAAGTTTCATTTAAAAAATATCATTGATAATACTGTGCATTTGTTATTCCAAATAATTCTTAGAATTACTTGGGTTTTAGTTACAATTGGGTTTACGTTTATCCAGCAAATTAAGAATTAATATGGCCAAAATCTAGAAAAACATTTATCTCTACATTTACTTAGGTCCTTCAGTAAAGTAGCAATGATTTCTTAATCTACATGTTACATATTTTTGTTGAATTTTTTCTTAAGTATTTTAAAATTTTTGTTATTTTTAATGCAATCTTTTTAATTGTATTTTTTAGTTGATCATCAGGATGTGGGCAAGCTATTGATTTTTTAAAATGTTTTATTTTGATCAAATATGTGAACATAGCTTCAGAAGTTAAGTTTGCAAGGTTTTTTGTTGTTGTTGTTTTTGTTTTCTTTTTAGAAAAAACAGCATAGCCTTCATCTCACCTGTTTCTCCAGGGGCAAACACTTTTGGCTGTTAGCTGATTCTTTCAGTAGTTAATTTGTCATTACATGCTTTTGTATTTATACTACTTTTTGTTTTAGGCATTATCTACTAAATTCCACCGTAGATAATGAGGAGTTTGTTGTTTTCTCCACCTACCCTCACTCCATCCTATCTTCCTGCTTTCCCCAAATAACTATATTGTAATTTGGATAATAATATTCAGTGTTTACATTATTATGAAGATATTTGTATCCTATGTAGATATAAGTAATGTGGTTACTTATGTCTAATGTAATGTGGTTAACGGTGATTAATTTTCCTTTGTCACCCTCGTTTTTATTATTCCTAGAGGTCACTTTTTAAAAAACTTTTCCATTTCTTTAGTTTTCTAAGTTGTTATAACTCATTCAACCTCCATATACTAAAATACCAATGGTATTTCTTAAGTAAATGTGTTTTATGGGCAGTGGGATGGATATATGACTTTGAATCTCACTTACTTGCCAGATTAAAGAAGATATTATATCGCTATAGTTTCAGTTGATTTCTAAGATTATAAAAATTGGTTTAAGCTTTGTAGAAGATTTGAGATCTGTGCATTTTGAGCACATGAGATACTTGTGGAATGGCAAAGCTCTCTCATGAATTTAAAGACCCAAAGAAACTAGTTGCATGGAACAGGTTTTTTTAATCAAATGCCTTCATTGGTACGTTAACTGATTTACTTGCTGATGTTAATAAATATGACTTTACTATAGACCTTCACAGTAGGCTTCATATCTGCTCAGCCACTGTAGCATAGTATAAAGAGAATACAGAGTCTTAAAGTCTGGATCAAATTCTGGCTCTGTCTTTACCAGTGCATGACCTTGTGTAAATTACTTATTTATAAAAAGAGAGAAAGAATATCTGTGTCATAGATTACATATGAGAACAAATTGGGGTGTTGTATATGAAAATCCTTTTGAATTGTAAAATGCTGTACAAATGTACAAAGTGATGTAGGGAGTTAATGCAGTTTGTAAACTGGTGAACTCTTAATATAGTGAGAGCTAATATGGGCAAAGAAGTAGTCTCTCTCCATGTGTAATGATATTGTATATTTGTGGATTTATACACACATATCTGTCAGACAGCAATTATTATCTATATATTGAATTATGTATATGTTAAAGACTTTAAAGACAGCATTTTATTTACGTGCAGTAAACAAGGAGTTTTCTATGCTCAAAAATGAAATAGGGATGATTAATGAAAAATCATGGTCAATCTCACCAGGCTACGTGGATGTGGAAGGTGACTACATATACATTGTACTATAAATAACAGAGATAAGAGATGTTGAGAGAAATACTGTTTGGTTTCACAGTTTTATTGGTTAATATATTGTGAGTACTTTGATGAACTTAATGCTTAATGTTATGGTTTGGAGTAACTCAGTAAAATATTCTTATATAGCAGGTGTCCTAAGTAAGAGAAAACATGTGAGTATCAGTCTCCAAATGACTCCTTTAATGTTGTGATCAATATTTTAAAATACTTTTGGATAAAAATTATTTTTTTCAATATTAGTGAAGCAAATTTATTTTAATGCGAGTATAATTTATTAACATTCTCTCATGTTTTGTTCCTGACAGGGACTCTGGTAAATTGATACACTATGTCTATATGTCTATTTGAATTTTTTTTTTTATAATCCAGGGGCTAATTTGGAATATGTGGGTGTTTATATGCTTGTGCATGCATGCATGTATGTGTTTATAAGTTTTAAACCTTCATTTCTGAAAAACATGCCCATTGGAGAATAAAGATCCAATAGGTTGAAGACAGAAATGATAGATACTTCAGTGACAAAAAGTGTTAATTCAAATATGACCTCCTAGCATCACTAAGAAATGTTAATACTTAGAGCTAGAAAATATTCCCCCCTCATCTTTTTGTGCCAAAATAAAAGTTGAATTTTAGAAGCCAAACCAATTTATTAGATAGATATAGAATTGGAAAATATTGGAGTTTGTAAATAGTAGAGACACTGAGACAGTATTAATTAATTAATTAAATGATGTCACTGTTAGTTCCTTGGCTCTGGCTGTGAGAATAACATTGTCAGCTAGCAGCAAATTGGTATTCTTTCTATTAGTTTTGAACTTATGTGATGTAAAGGTTTTTATGATCTTTTTTTATTTCATTGATTTTAGAGTGATGAAAAATTAGATATAGCTAACTTTTTTCTTTATGGATGGTAGCACCCTTTTGGGTATAACCTAACTGGAACAAAAAGCTAGTCTTTTTTCTTTTTTCTTTCTTTTTTTCTGGTCCACTAATTGGCTTGGCCTTTTTTTTTTTTTTTTCTTTTTGAATAGTACACAATATAGGATGCTAAGGATAAGATTGAAAGTACCTACTTATTTTCAGCATGTGCTTGAGGAGCTTTCTTTCTTTCACTTTTCAAAAGTGGAATTGCTATAGTTACTCTGTGATGGCTACACATGAGGTGACTATGTTTCATTTGGTCCTGTGGGCAGATACCCTTTTCACATGAATGAAAAACACTAGCAGATTTTTTAAATGATGGGTGATCAGTGATCAGTTATAGTCAAAATAACTTAAGTATAGAAGAGGTGATATGTTCTTTACGGATTGCTTGACAGATAACAGTGTTTGACCAGACAAATTCAGTTACAGATATACCTGTAGAAAGAGTTGAAAACATCAATGAAGCCTGTAAGTAACTTCAAATGAACTGAATATTTAGATTTATCACCTGTTTAAAGATACCTGATGGAGATATTGCAAGTAATACTAAAATTAAATTTCTTAAAAAGCTTTATTTCTTAATATTCTCTTATTCTATTTATACTTTTGGAATCCCCCAAAGATAAAGAAAAAAAAAGGATTATTAGGGGATTTATCTGCAAGTATTATAGGGAAGAATAAAAAAGATCAGAATTGAAAACAACTGTTGCAAGTACCAGAAAATTATGCTATTAATTTAAGTGTCATCATAGCACAAAAGATCACATTCTGGCACTTTGTGGAAATTATTAAAATACTGGAAATAATAGTACTTAAGATGAAGATATTATACTCTAAGATCTGGTTAAGTGACTGACATTATTACTTCACTTCAGGTATTATGAAAGTAACAAAATGCTTTTAAAGATAATAAGCGTTACATTCTGAGATTGGCAGTGTTCATACTTTCCTGCTTAAGTGCTTTCCTAGCTCAACATAATTTAATAACAGTTATGGGGAAATAGCTAACATCTTAGTTCTCACATATATCTTTCCCTCTTCTCCAATATATATACATTTATGTATCTATATATACATATAAAAGTAATACAGTTTTATTCTTTTAAGTGTTGGGTGTATGAACTCTTCTGCATTCTTTGTCCTTACTGTGAGGATTGTTACTATTTTGTGTTTTTTAAGTTCCTAATTGTTGAGAAAACTAACGAGAAGCTGTTAGTTTCTACACATCTACTGCTGTGTAGATCCATTACTGTTCATAAATCAGAATGACTGGTTTTTTAAATAGCTTTATTGAGATATAATTGACATACAGTAAACTGAATGTATTTAAGGTGTACACTTTGCTGAGTTTTGACAAATATCTACACACATTAAATTGTCACCACAATCAGGATAATAAACACATCCATCACATCCCAGTCACCTCCTTCCTCATTATTGTCCCTCCCTTTAGTCCTTCTCAACCTTCCACCAGGGCCTCAGGCAACTACTGATGTGCTTTATGCTACCATTGATTTGTTTGCAGTTTACAGAATCTTATATAATTCTGGGTACTTTTCTGTGCCAGTCTTTTTTCCTTGGCAGAATTACTTGGAGATTCAACCATGTTGTAGCATGTAATATAGTTCATTCTTTTTTTGGTAAGTATTGATGGATGTGCCACATATTGGCCATTCACCTTTTGATGGGCATATGGGTTGTTTTCAGAATTTGGCTAGTAAAATTTTCTCCAAATTGATCTAGAGATTCAATGCATTCGCAATCAAAATCCCAACAGCTCTTTTTTTTTTTTTCCTTCCTAATTTAAGAAATTGACAAAATTATGGCTGGTCGCAGTGTCTCACACCCGTAATCCCAACACTTCAGGAGGCCGAGACGAGAAGATTGATTGAGCCCAGCAGTTGGAGACCATCTGGGCAACATGGTGAAACCTCGTCTCTACAAAAAATACAAAAATCAGCTGGGTGTGGGGGCAACGTGTCTGTAGTCCCCCAGCTACTCAGGAGGCTGAGGTGGGAGGATCAGTTGAGCTCAGGAGCTCAAGGTTGCAGTGAGCTGTGATCATGCCACTGCACTTCAGCCTGGGTGACAGAGAGACCCTATCTCAAAAAAAAACCAAAAAACAAAAAAACCCCGAAATTAAGAGAATTATTCCAAAATGTATGTGCAAAGGCTGCAAAGGTCCTGTGATAGTTAAAATAACTCTGAAAAAGAAAAAAAGTTAGAAGACTAACACAACCTGATTTCAAGACTTAAAAATCTACTTTTTTCAGGATAATATGGTATTTTCATAAAGGTAGACAAGTAGATCACTGGAATAGATAATTCAGAAATATACCCATACATATACAGACAGCTGTTTTCAACGAAGGTACAAAGATAGTTTAGTGGAGGAAGGACAGTCTTTCAACACATGGTGCTGAGACAATTAGATATCTGTAAGTGAAAATGACCTCATCGATCCATATACAAAAATTAACTTACAATGAATTATAAACAATGTAAAAACATAAATATAAAGCTTCTAGAAGAAACACAGGGAAAAGTATTTGTAACTCTAGGCTAGGCAGATATTTCTTAGTATAACACCAAATGCAAGGTCCAAAAAAGAACAAATTGATAAATTGGTCGTCATCAAAATTAAAAATTTCTGTTCTTGAAAGACACTATTAAGAGAATTAGAAGCTAGACTGGAAAATGTTTGCAAATCATATATCTGATGTGTTTAAAATATATAAAGAACTCTCAAAGTTCAATAATAAAACTCAAAATGGACGTTGTTTTATGTATACACACGTTCTAGATTTTTCAAGGATAACACTTTTACTACCATTAAAGCTTTATATAAATTTATTTCATGTGTAAAAAGTTTTCAAAATATATTTACTTAGCTCTTAGGGAATTGAACTTATGTCAGTTGCTTGTCTTTTTCTGCCTAGAAATCAGGTAATTCTTGCTTCCAACTTCACTTTCTTTGCAACACTTTTTTTTTTTTATTATTATACTTTAAGTTTTAGGGTACGTGTGCACAACGTGCAGGTTTGTTACATATGTATACATGGGCCATGTTGGTTTGCTGCTCCCATTAACTCGTCATTTGCATTAGGTATTTCTCCTAATGCTATCCCTTCCCCATCCCCCCCACCCCACGACAGGCCCCAGTGTGTGATGTTCCTTGCCCTGTGTCCAAGTGTTCTCATTGTTCAGTTCTCACCTACGAGTGAGAACATGCGGTGTTTGGTTTTCTGTGCTTGCGATAGTTTGCTGAGAATGATAGTTTCCAGCTTCATCCGTGTCCCAACAAAGGACATGTACTCATCCTTTTTTATGGCTGCATAGTATTCCATGGTGTATATGTGGCATATTTTCTTAATCCAGTCTATCATTGATGGACATTTGGGTTGGTTCCAAGTCTTTGCTATTGTGAATCATGCCGCAATAAACATATGTGTGCATGTGTTTTTATAGTAACATGGTTTATAATCCTTTGGGTATATACCCAGTCATGGGATTGCTGGGTCAAATGGTATTTCTAGTTTTAGATTCTTGAGGAATCGCCACACTGTCTTCCACAATGGTTGAACTAGTTCACACTCCCACCAACAGTGTAAAAGCATTCCTATTTCTCCACATCCTCCAGCACCTGTTGTTTCCTGACTTTTTAATGATTGCCATTCTAACTGGTGTGAGATGATATCTCATTCTGGTTTTGATTTTTGCAGCACTTTTTACTCAACCACATTGCTTCAGTCAGCTTCGTGGTGGTGTATGTTGACAAAACAATTCACTGCGGTTCCGCCACTTTACTTCTTTTTGCCCCAGGGATTTTCTAATGCTGTAAGACCAAGGATGCTTGTGGAAGCCACAAGGCATACATACATATCTACACCTGTAAGTGTGAGAGACTGAATCCCCTTTAGGGCAATTCAGCCAGTGGCATGGAAGCCGGAAAAAAATGCTCTTGCATTCTGGTTCTTGGACAGGAATTCTGAGGAACTTTTTCTACAGCTGCTTACATAGCTACCATTGACTACAATAACCAGCTTGAAAGCACATCCTTATTTTGGCATTCCCTACTGTGTTTCACTCTTTCCAGTCCCCACTCTTCGTTCCCTGAGTTCACTTCCAATAAATTTTCCCCATACATGTCCTTGTCTCTGGCTTTGCCTTCTGGGGAAATCTCAAGCTTGGGCCAATTGTCATTGTTGTATGCTACAGATGAAGATATGTAGGACAAGGGTCCAAATATACCAATCATACTTATGGCCCAGAAATTTACCTTCTTAAAGAAAATTCTGATGTTTGCTTTTTGATTATTTGACTTATTTTTCAAGATTGAACAAAACCTATGCAATTATATATGACCTCCTAAGCAGTATAACTTGGCAGGCCTTCTTTAAAATCAATTTATAAATCAAAGGCTGCACTAGGCTTCTCTCAAATTATTTCCTTGCCCCTAGAAAATTGTAATCTTCTTCACAGTTGCTGTCGGCTTCCTTTGACTTGTCACTATTTGAAAAATTTTCTGTGACTACTGTATAACTAACAGTGGGTAATAGGCACTGACTTCTTAGCTGCACTTGTACCTAGTTTGCAGAATGTAAGTGTTTCTCAATATTTCAGTGATAGGTACTAATATGTTTTTTAAAATGTTTAGACCTAAGTGTACAAGTAATTCAGCAGTGGAAAATAACACTGTACAAGCCAAACTACTGACTCCTTGACTAAAATTATATTCCCTAGTCATGGAACTAACAGAATTTTTGTTTATCTCCTGATTCCTTAACTTGTGCTTCTTAAGCAATAATTCAAAAATGAGATACATTTTAAGGCTTTAGAATAATGATACCCAGTTTTCGAGTGGTTTATTTCATTTATTAAACATGAGCAAGAATAACCAACCCTGTCCTTACCCTGCTTAATTATCGGGGTCTTTGACTCATTCATAACTTCCAGCATAAAAATTGGCAAGCATTGCCAAAAGCAACTGATGGTGCTTCAGTGTTATAAGACTATTCAGGAAGTAGAATAAGCCATTTAGTTTTTTTGTAAGTTCGTGATTTGGTGACCTTTGAATAGAGTAACTTTCTAATGGTTCATGATCTCAAGGTTTAAATGTCAGATATGCTAGTTGGATGGTTTGTTCAGAAATCTTTTCAGTATGTGTGTTCAGAAACTTTCAGGTGCATTAACACAGAGATCCCAAATACAGATCTTTTCATGGACAAGCCCGTATACGGAACAGTCAGGGTATTTCTGATTTAGGTGCAGAGAATTTCATTAAGTGCCTTAGGAGAACTTAATATTGGATTGATCTCTTAATATCTTTATGCTTGCTCTTTTCAAATGATGTGGAGATGTCTATTTTTTCCTTAAGATTAATTCTTTTTTTTTATTCTTCTGACCTTTGATTTTTCACCATAGGAAGATTAGATTCCATATCAGGGAATATTTCCCTGTTAAACTTAGCTTCTGTGCTCCCTCTGCATGTAGTATTATAGAGGTAGTTTTCTAGTTTCTCTTGTTTGGCCTGTGCCTCTTTTTTCTCCTGCAGTCCTACCCCACGTTAAGGCATACCAACAAATAGATTTTTTAAAGTCTGTGGTGGGTTGGTGTGCCTTCAACACGGACCTTTGCTGCAAACCTTTTGTGGAAGGCGAAGTAGAATGTACTTGGCTATTATTTATTCTCACCTTGTTTTATGTTTCCTAACTTTCTCACGATGTTTCCTCCCGTTTTGGGGGACTTTTTAAGGTCAGGACGTTGCTGAGAATTGTGTTCTTTTCCTTCTCATACCATGCTAAGGCTTAGCTGAGAGGCTTCTGCATTAACTTGATTTCTAGGATACTTTTCTTCCTATAAGACAGTTTATTGCTTTTGGGGCATGCAGCCTTATGTATGTATGTTTAAGGGTTGTTTTCTGTTGCTAATTTCTGTTGTCTTTAATTTTTCTCTTATATTTTTATTCATTTCCTTATTCTTATTATTGTATGTATGCACAAAACAGACGGCATTTTGCTTTGATTAGCAGATCTAACAGTTGCAAAGTTCTGGTTGTAATTTTTGGATCTTCACTGTATTTAAGCTGTACAGTTGTTTTGCTATTCCTGTTAAGAATTTGTGGTTCAAAACCTATTCCAAAACTCAAGAGTTTATTGACTATTGCAGTTTTTCTCCCATATTTTAGACAATAATAGTAGATTTATAATGCATTTTTTACTTCTCCTTTAAATACATGGAGATATAAAGTATAATGTAATCCAAATATTTTGATTCTCATATAAAAGGTTTTTGATTCTGATGTGAAAATTATTTTGATCAAAGAGTAAATTGTTATTGTATATTAAATCATATAAATAGACATTTATATTTAATGGATGTATTCATATTTGTTAAAATCTCTTTATAAACAAGAATTGGTAATAAATGAGATTACATTGTAATAATTGGCATCTTGAAAGGGAATCTTGGTACTTTTAAGGGGAAAGCAATACCTACTTCATGGATTTTCAAACAGTTATATTTAGAATTCTTGACTTCTATACCTGGAAGTCACCTTAGAAGTTACCTTAGAAGTTGTCTCTTGTACCATCCACAATTATAGGTGCAATGTTAAAGCTTAGAGAGGCTGAGTATGTCTTGCTTAAGATCAAATACCTTGTTACCATCAATATGAGAGCTGTGATTTCCTTGCAAACTGGGTACTTTTATATCAGAGAAGCCAACGTAGTCCTGTACATGGCTAAAATGTTAATTTCATTGAATCAACTTTAATGTATTTTTTTGCTATACTGTGAGCATCAGGAAATGAAAGGATGGGTAACAGATCACTTATTTTTATTTCTACATGTGCTTTTCTAGGATTATAAAAATGTTATAGAAAATATGGAAAGGTACAAAGAAGAGAATAAAAAATTGTCATTGTCATAAAAGAGGATTTTTAAAATATAACCACACTAATTAGGGACCAGTGAAAGATTAGAATAAAATCAATGAAGCAGAGTGAGAACAAAACCACTCTTGATTATTCTGCAGTGGATTAAGAGCATGGATAAAGATTCAATAGGACCTACAAAATGCTGACCTCTTCACTGAGGTTTGGTAATAAAAGCAGTAACTAATAAGGGGAGTGCTGTAAGAGAGGAGCCAAACCATGGGATTAAGCTATCTCAGTTAATGATGGAAAAGCTACTTTGGAGAATTCAGACCTACACCCATATACTTAATTTTTTTTTCACCATCCTGTAACTCTGAAGCTCTGCAATTAGTGAAATAATCTCTAAACTTAAGAGTTTGGATATTTTTATTTGATCGTGTATATACTTTTTAGGGAATTATGTCTTTATTCATTTTTTTCTATTATCTGTTCATTTTTATTTTAAATATTTTTTAGTAACCTTATATATATTAAGGGTATCAATCCTTTGTCCAATATGGTACAGATATTTTGCTATTGTTTCATTAGGCTGTGAACTTCTCTAGGATGAGTACTATATGTCTTATAATAATGGCTCCCAATTTTTATACATTTACTCTCTTCTAAGAAGTTGACATTTTATCTTCATTATCTCACTCGGATCTTGTGAGGATTAACACTATTTCCGTATTACAAATGCTAAGGGAGGTAAGTAACTTGCTAAAAAGGTGCAACTAATGTTAAGTGGTAGAGCTAGGGATGAGACTTACTTGACTATAGTTTTTGATCTTAATCAGCATACTCTATTGCATCTTCTATATTGTTAGTATCACCAGTATCTAGTATTGACTGTAACACTCAGTAGACACATTATTCAGAGTTGCTGTATTGAATTGTATTAGGACATCATTCATTTATGTAATATTTGTTTACTTAATTTTGTATAACCTGATGTGATGTAAGTGAGGATTGCATTCTTCAGTGCTTGACTCATATACTTTGTTGAATATGGTTACAAATTGACTATTTTAAGTTGAAGATAAAACTGTTTCTTCCGTGGGTTAGTTGTATAAAATGGGTTTTATTTCTTACAAATTTATTGTATACCCCTCAAAAATTCCAAAATTTATCGCAGGAATAAAATAGAATATTATTTTAAACATTAACAACGAAAGTCAAAGTTATGATGAAAATGTTCTTAAGGGTGCCTTTCTTTTTGTGAATTGTATGGAAGTGTGACTCTGGTAATATTTGGACTGAAACAAGCATGGCTATTCTTCATTCTTCCACTAGTGGTTTTTAACCTTATCTGCACATTAGAATCACTTGAGAAACTTTTAAAAGTCCCAGTATAAAGGCTGTATTGAACTAATATCAATTAAAAAGGAATGGGTGGAATAGAATTTGTATATTAATGTTTAAGTTCCTTAGGTGATTCCAGTACGATTTTCATTGTGGAAAAAGTTACAGTTACTGATAATATTTCTGTGGTTTCTTACCTATATCCATAGTTGAAGGAAATGCTACATTTTACTTAGAAGTTAAGATGTATTTTTTCAGCCTATTTGAGATTCTCTGATTCAGAATGCTTATCATAGACATTTCAAAGATTATAATTTGTCTTATATAGTGAGCTTTTTTTCTGAGAAGACGTATTTGTGTGTTTTAGAGAGGGTTTTAAATATATTATTTAAATATATAGATTTGAAGATTTATTTTAAAAGGCCAGTTATTAAATATTTTTTAAATGAAGCAAATTAGTCTATAACCTAATCCAGAAATAATAATTTGGTCAGCTTTCTCAGTTATAACAAATAACTCATACGTAATTTATATCATTTATTTAATATTTTTGAGATTCATTCCCCCCTCCAATGTTTTATTACAAATTTTCTGACATACAAGAAACATTGAAAAAGTTAATGGTGAATACCCATGTATCCACCATCTAAATTTGATAGTTAATCTTTCCTATATTTGCTTTATCATGTTTTTCCATTTATTCATCCTTTCTTCCACCCATAAATCCAGCCATTTTTAGTTCTATACAAAGTAACTTGCAGGTATCTGAATACTTTCTTCAAAATATGTCATCGGCATGCATACATTTAACTAGAGTTCAGTTCTTTGTAAAATTTGGAAACAGTAAAGTGCATAAATCTTAAGTGTTCCATAAGTTCCAGTAAATGGATACACCAGTGCAATCCACAGTCAAGATGCAGAACATTATTAACATCACAGGGTTTTGTCCCATCCTAGTAAATCCCCATTATTTTGATTGTTTTCCACCAAAGCTTAGTTATGTCTATTCCAGATATTATAAACAGAGGCATACAGTATGTACTCTTTCCTACATAGGCTTATTTTACCCATCCATTTTCTGAAATTTATCCATGTTGTGACATGGACCAATAGTTCATTCCTTTTTATTCCTGAGTAATAGTCCATTGCATGAATATACTGAGGTTTGTTAATCCTTTTGCCTGTTGACAAACATCTGGACTGTTACCAGTTTTTGGTGCTTATGAATGTAGCTGCTGTGAGCATTCCGGTAACGGTATTTTTATGGATATATCTTTTCACTTTTTTTGGAGTAGAATTGCCAGGTTAAGGTAGGAATATATTTAGTTCTTAAAGAAATTGTCAAATCTTTTCAAAACAGTTGTGCCATTTACATGCGCACTGACAGTATATGAGAGTTCAGTTGCTTTGTGTCCTTATTAACATTTATTATTTTAATGTTATCTCATTAATATTAGTACTCTCACTTTTTTTTCTGAAAAGTTTCGATTTCTTTTTTGATTACTTTGCACATTACAAATGGGCACACACACACAAAAAACCTTTAAACAATGGCACAGTAGCTCTGGTGAGATGTGAGACCGCTTATGTTAAAAAATGAGAAGGTGGCTATTTTTATTGTATTTTATTTTATTTTTTAATTATGTTTTAAGTTCTGGTATACATGTGCAGAACGTGCAGGTTTGTTACATAGGTATACACGTGCCATGGTGGTTTGCTGCACCCATCAACCCGACATCTACATTAGGTATTTCTCCTAATACTATCCCTCACCTAGTCCCCCACCCCCCGACAGGCCCTGGTGTGTGATATTTCCCTCCCTGTGTCCATGTGTTCTCATTGTTCAACTCCAGCTTATGAGTGAGAACATGCAGTGTTTGGTTTTCTGTTCACTGAGAATGATGGTTTCTAGCTTCATCCGTGTCCCTGCAAAGGACATGAACTCATCCTTTTTTATGGCTGCATAGTATTCCATGGTGTATATGTACCACATTTTCTTTTCCAGTCTATCATTGATGGGCGTTTGGGTTGGTTTCAAGTCTTTGCTATTGTGAATAATGCTGGAATAAACATATGTATGCATGTCTTTATAGTAGCATGATTTATAATTCTTTGGGTATATACCCCATAATGGGATTGCTGGATCAAACAGTATTTCTGCTTCTAGATCCTTGAGGAATCGCCACACTGTCTTCCACAATGGTTGAACTAATTTACACTTCGACCAACAGTGTCAAAGCATTCCTATTTCTCCACATCCTCTTCAGCATCTGTTGTTTCCTGACTTTTTAATGATCGCCATTCTAACTGGCATGTGGTAGTATCTCATTGTGGTTTTGATTTGCATTTTTCTAATGACCAGTGATGATGAGCTTTTTTTCATATGTTTGTTGGCCGCATAAATGTGTTCTTTTGAGAAATGTCTGTTCATATCCTTTGCCTACTTTTAGATACGGTTGTTTTTTTCTTGTAAATTTAAGTTCCTTGTAGATTCTGGATATTAGCCCTTTGTCAGATGGATAGATTGCAGAAATATTCTCCCATTATGTAGATTGCCTGTTCACTCTAATGATAGTTTCTTTTGCTGTGAAGGAGCTCTTTAGTTTAATTAGATCCCATTTGTCAGTTTTTGTTGCCATTGCTTTTGGTGTTTTAGTCATGAAGTCTTTGCCCATGCCAATGTACTGAATGGTTTTGCCTAGGTTTTCTTCTAGGGTTTTTATGGTTTTAGGTCTTATGTTTAAGTCTTTAATCCATATTGTGTTAATTTTTGTATAAGGTGTAAGGGAGGGGTCCCGTTTGAGTTTTCTGCATATGGCTAGCCAGTTTTCCCAACACCGTTTAATAAATAGGGAATCCTTTCCCCATTGCTTGTTTTTGTCATGTTTGTCAAAGATCAGATGGTTGTAGATGTGTGGCGTTATTTCTGAGGCCTCTGTTTTGTTCCATTGGTCTATATCTCTGTTTTGGTACCAGTACCATGCTGTTTTGGTTACAGCATGCCTTGCAGTATAGTTTGAAGTCAGGTAGCATGATGCTTCCAGCTTTGTTCTTTTTGCTTAGGATTGTCTTGGCTATATGGGCTCTTTATTGGTTCCATATGAAATGTAAAGTAGTTTTTTTCTAATTCTGTTAAGAAAGCCAGTGGTAGATTGATGGGGATAGCATTGAATCTATAAATTACTTAGGGCAGTATGGCCATTTTCACGATATTGATTCTTCCTATCCATGAATATGGAATGTTTTTCCATTTGTTTGTGTCCTCTCTTATTTCCTTGAGCAGTGGTTTGTAGTTCTCCTTCAAGAGGTCCTTCACATCCCTTGTAAGTTGGATTCCTAGGTATTTTCTTCGCTTTGAAGCAATTGTGAATGGGAGTTCACTCATAATTTGTCTCTCTGTTTGTCTGTTATTGGTGTATAAGAATGCTTGTGATTTTTGTACATTGATTTTGTATCCTGAGACCTTGCTGATGTTGCTTATCAGCTTAAGGAGATTTTGGGCTGAGATGATAGGGTTTTGTAAATATACAGTCATGTCATCTGCAAACAGAGACAATTTGACTTCCTCTCCTCCTATTTGAATACCTTTTATTTCTTTCTCTTGCCTGATTGCCCTGGCTAGAACTTCCAATACAGTGTTGAATAGGAGTGGTGAGAGAGAGCATCCTTGTCTTGTGCTGGTTTGCAAAGGGAATGCTTCCAGCTTTTGCCCATTCAGTATGATATTGACTGTGGGTTTGTCATAAATAGCTGTTACTGTTTTGAGATATGTTCCATCAACACCTAATTTATTGAGAGTTTTTAGCATGAAGGGGTATTGAATTTTATTGAAGGCCTTTTCTGCATCTATTGAGATAATCATGTGGTTTTTGTTTTTGGTTCTGTTTGTGTGATGGGTTACGTTTATTGATTTGCTTATGTTGAACCAGCCTTGAATCCTAGGGTTGAAACCAACTTGATCGTGGTAGATAAGCTTTTTGATGTGCTGCTAGATTAGGTTTGCCAGTATTTTGTTGAGGATTTTCACACTGATGTTCAGGGATATTGGCCAGAAATTTTCTTTTTCTGTTGTGCCTCCTCCAGATTTTGGTGTCAGGATGATGCAGGCCTCATAAAATGAGTTAGGGAGGAGTCATTTTTCTGTTTGAAATAGTTTCAGAAGGAATGGTACCAGCTCTTCTTTGTACCTCTGGTAGAATTTGGCTGTGAATCTGTGTGGTTCTGGGCTTTTTTTGGTTAGTAGGCTATTAAATACTGCCTCAATTTCAGAAGTTGTTATCGATCTATTTCGGGATTTGACTTCTTCCTGATTTAGTCTTGGGAGGGTGTATGTGTCCAGGAATTTATCCACTTCTTCTAGATTTTCTAGTTTATTTGTGTAGAGGTGTTTATAGCATTCTGTGATAGTAGTTTGTATTTCTGTAGGATCAGTGGCGATATCCCCTTCATCATTTTTTTATTGTGTCTATTTGATTCTTCTCTCTTTTCTTCTTTATTAGTCTGGCTAGCGGTCTATTTGGGTTTTTTTTGTTTTTTCTTTTTCTTTTTTTTTTAATCTTTTTTATTTTATTATTAAGTTTTAGTGTACATGTGCACAATGTGCAGGTTACTTACATATGTATACATGTGCCATGCTGGTGTGCTGCACCCGTTAACTCGTCATTTAGCATTAAGTATATCTCCTAAAGCTATCCCTCCCCCCTCCCCCCACCCCACAACAGTCCCCAGAGTGTGATGTTCCCCTTCCTGTGTCCATGTGTTCTCATTGTTCAATTCCCACCTATGAGTGAGAATATGCGGTGTTTGGTTTTTTGTTCTTGCGATAGTTTACTGAGAATGATGATTTCCAGTTTCATCCATGTCCCTACAAAGGACATGAACTCATCCTTTTTTATGGCTGCATAGTATTCCATGGTGTATATGTGCCACGTTTTCTTAATCCAGTCTATCATTGTTGGATATTTGGGTTGGTTCCAAGTCTTTGCTGTTGTGAATAGTGCTGCAATAAACATAGATGTGCATGTGTCTTTATAGCAGCATGATTTATAGTCCTTTGGGTATATACCCAGTAATGGGATGGCTGGGTCAAATGGTATTTCTAGTCCTAGATCCCTGAGGAATCGCCACACTGACTTCCACAAGGGTTGAACTAGTTTACAGTCCCACCAACAGTGTAAAAGTGTTCCTATTTCTCCACATCCTCTCCAGCACCTGTTGTTTCCTGACTTTTTAATGATTGCCATTCTAAGTGGTGTGAGATGATATCTCGTTGTGGTTTTGATTTGCATTTCTCTGATGGCCAGTGATGATGAGCATTTTTTCATGTGTTTCTTGGCTGCATAAATGTCTTCTTTTGAGAAGTGTCTGTTCATGTCCTTTGCCCACTTTTTGATGGGGTTGTTTGTTTTTTTCTTGTAAATTTGTTTGAGTTCTTTGTAGATTCTGGATATTAGCCCTTTGTCAGATGAGTAGGTTGCGAAAATGTTCTCCCATTTTGTAGGTTGCCTGTTCACTCTGATGGTAGTTTCTTTTGCTGTGTAGAAGCTCTTTAGTTTAATTAGATCCCATTTGTCAATTTTGGCTTTTGTTGCCATTGCTTTTGGTGTTTTAGACATGAAGTCCTTGCCCATGCCTATGTCCTGAATGGTAATACCTAGGTTTTCTTCTAGGGTTTTTATGGTTTTAGGTCTAACGTTTAAGTCTTTAATCCATCTTGAATTAATTTTTGTATAAGGTGTAAGGAAGGGATCCGGTTTCAGCTTCCTACATATAGCTAGCCAGTTTTCCCAGCACCATTTATTAAATAGGGAATCCTTTCCCCATTGCTTGTGTTTCTCAGGTTTGTCAACGATCAGGTAGTTGTAGATATGCGGCGTTATTTCTGAGGGCTCTGTTCTGTTCCATTGATCTATATCTCTGTTTTGGTACCAGTACCATGCTGTTTTGGTTACTGTAGCCTTGTAGTATAGTTTGAAGTCAGGTAGCGTGATGCCTCCAGCTTTGTTCTTTTGGCTTAGGATTGACTTGGCGATGCGGGCTCTTTTTTGGTTCCATATGAACTTTAAAGTAGATTTTTCCAATTCTGTGAAGAAAGTCACTGGTAGCTTGATGGGGATGGCATTGAATCTATAAAGTACGTTGGGCAGTGTGGCCATTTTCATGATATTGATTCTTCCTACCCATGAGCATGGAATGTTCTTCCATTTGTTTGTATCCTCTTTTATTTCCTTGAGCAGTGGTTTGTAGTTCTCCTTGAAGAGGTCCTTCACATCCCTTGTAAGTTGGATTCCTAGGTATTTTGTTCTCTTTGAAGCAATTGTGAATGGGAGTTCACTCATGATTTGGCTGTTTGTCTGTTATTAGTGTGTAAGAATGCTTGTGATTTTTGTACATTGATTTTGTATCCTGAGACTTTGCTGAAGTTGCTTATCAGCTTAAGGAGATTTTGGGCTGAGACAATGGGGTTTTCTAGATATACAATCATGTCGTCTGCAAACAGGGACAATTTGACTTCCTCTTTTCCTAATTGAATACCCTTTATTTCCTTCTCCTGCCTAATTGCCCTGGCCAGAACTTCCAACACTATGTTGAATAGGAGTGGTGAGAGAGGGCATCCCTGTCCTGCTGGTTTTCAAAGGGAATGCTTCAAGTTTTTGCCCATTCACTGTGATATTGGCTGTGGGTTTGTCATAGATAGCTCTTATTATTTTGAGATACGTCCCATCAATACCTAATTTATTGAGAGTTTTTAGCATGAAGCGTTGTTGAATTTTGTCAAAGGCCTTATCTGCATCTATTGAGATAATCATGTGGTTTTTGTCTTTGGTTCTGTTTATGTGCTGGATTACATTTATTGATTTGCGTATATTGAACCAGCCTTGCATCCCAGGGATGAAGCCCACTTGATCATGGTGGATAACGTTTTTGATGTGCTGCTGGATTTTGTTTGCCAGTATTTTATTGAGGATTTTTGCATCAATGTTCATCAAGGATATTGGTGTAAAATTCTCTTTTTTGGTTGTGTCTCTGCCCGGCTTTGGTATCAGAATGATGCTGGCCTCATAAAATGAGTTAGGGAGGATTCCCTCTTTTTCTATTGATTGTAATAGTTTCAGAAGGAATGGTACCAGTTCCTCCTTGTACCTCTGGTAGAATTCGGCTGTGAATCCATCTGGTCCTGGACTCTTTTTGGTTGGTAAGCTATTGATTTTCGCCACAATTTCAGAGCCTGTTATTGGTCTATTCAGAGATTCAACTTCTTCCTGGTTTAGTCTTGGGAGGGAGTATGTGTCGAGGAATTTATCCATTTCTTCTAGATTTTCTAGTTTATTTGCATAGAGGTGTTTATAGTATTCTCTGATGGTAGTTTGTATTTCTGTGGGATCGGTGGTGATGTACCCTTTATCATTTTTTACTGCATCTATTTGATTCTTCTCTCTTCTTTATTAGTCTTGCTAGCGGTCTATCAATTTTGTTGATCCTTTCAGAAAACCAGCTCCTGGATTCATTAATTTTTTGAAGGGTCTTTTGTGTCTCTATTTCCTTCAGTTCTGCTCTGGTTTTAGTTATTTCTTGCCTTCTGGTAGCTTTTGAATGTGTTTGCTCTTGCTTTTCTAGTTCTTTTAATTGTGATGTCAGGGTGTCAATTTTGGATCTTTGCTGCTTTCTCTTGTGGGCATTTAGTGCTATAAATTTCCCTCTACACACTGCTTTGAATGTGTCCCAGAGATTCTGGTATATTGTGTCTTTGTTCTCGTTGGTTTCAAAGAACATCTTTATTTCTGCCTTCATTTTGTTATGTACCCAGTAGTCATTCTGGAGCAGGTTGTTCAGTTTCCATGTAGATGAGCGGTTTTGAGTGAGTTTCTTAATCCTGAGTTCTAGTTTGATTGCACTGTGGTCTGAGAGACAGTTTGTTATGATTTCTGATCTTTTACATTTGCTGAGGAGAGCTTTATTTCCAACTATGTGGTCGATTTTGGAACAGGTGTGGTGTGGTGCTGAGAAAAATGTATATTCTGTTGATTTGGGGTGGAAAGTTCTGTAGATTTCTATTAGGTCTGCTTGGTGCAGAGCTGAGTTCAATTCCTGGGTATCCTTGTTAACTTTCTGTCTTGTTGATCTGTCTAATGTTGACAGTGGGGTGTTAAATTCTCCCATTATTATTGTGTGGGAGTCTTAAGTCTCTTTGTAGGTCACTCAGGACTTGTTTTATGAATCTGGGTGCTCCTGTATTGGGTGCATATATATTTAGGATAGTTAGCTCCTCTTGTTGAATTGATCCCTTTACCATTATGTAATGGCCTTCTTTGTCTCTTTTGATCTTTGTTGGTTTAAAGTCTGTTTTATCAGAGACTAGGATTGCAACCCCTGCCTTTTTTTGTTTTCCATTTGCTTGGTAGATCTTCCTCCATCCTTTTATTTTGAGCCTATGTGTGTCTCTGCTTGTGAGATTTGTTTCCTGAATACAGCACACTGATGGGTCTTGACTCTTTATCCAATTAGCCAGTCTATGTCTTTTAATTGGAGCATTTAGTCCATTTACATTTAAAGTTAATATTGTTATGTGTGAGTTTGATCCTGTCATTATGATGTTAGCTGGTTATTTTGCTTGTTAGTTGATGCAGTTTCTTCCTAGCCTCGATGGTCTTTACAATTTGGCATGATTTTGCAGCGGCTGGTACCGGTTGTTCCTTTCCATGTTTAGTGCTTCCTTCAGGAGCTCTTTTCGGGCAGGCCTGGTGGTGACAAAATCTCTCAGCGTTTGCTTGTCTGTAAAGGATTTTATTTCTCCTTCACTTATGAAGCTTAGTTTGGCTGGATATGAAATTCTGGGTTGAAAATTCTTTTCTTTAAGAATGTTGAATATTGGCTCCCACTCTCTTCTGGCTTGTAGAGTTTCTGCTGAGAGATCAGCTGTTAGTCTGATGGGCTTCCCTTTGTGGGTAACCCGACCTTTCTCTCTGGCTGCCCTTAACATTTTTTCCTTCATTTCAACTTTGGTGAATCTGACAATTATGTGTCTTGGAGTTGCTCTTCTCGAGAGTATCTTTGTGGCATTCTCTGTATTTCTTTAATCTGAATGTTGGCCTGCCTTGCTAGATTGGGGAAGTTCTCCTGGATAATATCCTGCAGAGTGTTTTCCAACTTGGTTCCATTGTCCTCGTCACTTTCAGGTACACAAATCAGACGTAGGTTTGGTCTTTTCACATGGTGCCATATTTCTTGGAGGCTTTGTTCGTTTCTTGTTATTCTTTTTTCTCTAAGCTTCCCTTCTTGCTTCATTTCATTCACTTCATCTTCCGTCACTGATACCCTTTCTTCCAGTTGATCGCATCGGCTCCTGAGGCTTCTGTATTCTTCACGTAGTTCTCAAGTCTTGGCTTTCAGCTCCATCAGCTGCTTTAAGCACTTCTCTGTATTGGTTATTCTAGTTATGCATTCGTCTAAATTTTTTTCAAAGTTTTCAGCTTCTTCGCCTTTGGTTTGAATTTCCTCCTGTAGCTCATAGTAGTTTGATGGTCTGAAGCCTTCTTCTCTCAACTCGTCAAAGTCATTCTCTGTCCAGCTTTGTTCCATTGCTGGTGAGGAGCTGTGTTCCTTTGGAGGAGGAGAGGCGCTCTGCTTTTTAGAGTTTCCAGTTTTTCTGGTCTGTTTTTTCCCCATCTTTGTGGTTTTATCTACTTTTGGTCTTTGATGATGGTGATGTACAGATGGGTTTTTGGTGTGGATGTCTTTTCTGTTAACACACAGACCCTCAGCTAAGAGTCCTTTCTGTTAACAAACAGACCCTCTGTTAACAGAGACCCTCAGCTGCAGGTCTGTTGGAGTTTGCTAGAGGTCCACTCCAGACCCTGTTTGCCTGGGTACCAGTAGCGGTGGCTGCAGAACAGCAGATTTTCTTGAACCACGAATGCTGCTGTCTGATGGTTCCTCTGGAAGTTTTGTCTCAGAGGAGTACCTGGCCATGTGAGGTGTCAGTCTGCCCCTACTGGGCGGTGCCTCCCAGTTAGGCTGCTCAGGGGTCAGGGGTCAAGAACCCACTTAAGGAGGCAGTCTGCCTGTTCTCAGATCTCCAGGTGCGTGCTGAGAGAACCACTGCTCTCTTCAAAGCTGTCGGACAGGGACATTTAAGTCTGCAGAGGTTACTGCTGTCTTTTTGTTTGTCTGTGCCGTGTCCCCAGAGGTGGAGCCTACAGAGGCAGGCAGGCCTCTTTGAGCTGTGGTGGGCTCCACCCAGTTCGAGCTTCCCGGCTGCTTTGTTTTCCTAAGCTAGCCTGGGCAATGGCGGGCGCCCCTCCCCCAGCCTCGCTGCCACCTTGCAGTTTGATCTTAGACTGCTGTGCTAGCAATGAAGGAGGCTCCGTGGGCGTAGGACTCTCCAAGCGGGATGTAATCTCCTGGTGTGCCGTTTTTTAAACCCGTCGGAAAAGCGCAGTATTGGGGTGGGAGTGACCCGATTTTCCGGGTGCTGTCTGTCACCCCTTTCTTTGACTAGGAAAGAGAACTCCCTGACCCTTTGCACTTCCCGAGGGAGGCAGTGCCTCGTCCTGCTTCTGCTCGCGCATGGTGCACTGCACCCACTGTCTTGCGCCCACTGTCTGGCACTCCCTAGTGAGATGAACCCGGTACCTCAGATGGAAATGCAGAAATCACCCGTCTTCTGCGTCGCTCACCCTGGGAGCTGTAGACCGGAGCTGTTCCTATTCGGCCATCTTGGCTCCAATCCCCTATTTTGTTACTCTTTTCAAAAAACCAGCTCCTGGGTTCATTGATTTTTTTGAAGGGTTTTTCGTGTCTCTATCTCCTTCAGTTCTGCTCTGATCTTAGTTATTTCTTGTCTTCTGCTAGCTTTTGAATGTTTGTTCTTGCTTCTGTAGTTCTTTTAATTGTGATGTTAGGGTGTCAATTTTAGTTCTTTCTGCTTTCTCATGTGGGCATTTCGTTATAAATTTCCCTTGAAACACTGCTTTGGCTGTGTCCCAGAGATTCTGGTACATTGTGTCTTTGTTCTCAATAACTTAAGTTTCAAAAAACTTATTTATTTCTGCCTTAATTTTGTTATTTACTCAGTAGTCATTCAGGAGAAGGTTGTTCAGTTTCTATGTAGTTGTGCAGTTTTGAGTGAGTTTCTTAATCCTGAGTTCTAATTTGATTGCACTGTGGTTTGAGAGATTTTATTGAATTCCATCCTTTTGCATTTGCTGAAGAGTGTTTTACTTCAAATTTTGTGATCAGTTTTAAAAGAAGTGTGATGTGGTGCTGAGAGGAATGTATGTTTTGTTAATTTGGGGTGGAGAGTTGTGTAGATGTCTATTAGGTCTGCTTGGTCCAGAGCTGAGTTCAACTCCTGAATATCCTTGTTAATTTTGTGTCTCGTTGATCTGTCTAATATTGACAGTGGGGGTGTTACAGTCTCCCACTATTATTGTGTGGGAGTCTTAAGTCTCTTTGTAGGTCTCTGAGAACTTGCTTTATGAATCTGGTTGCTTCTGTATTGGGTGCATATACATTTAGGATTGTTAGCTCTCCTTGTTGCATTGATCCGTTTACCATTATGTAATGCCCTTCTTTGTCTCTTTTGATCTTTGTTGGTTTAAAGTCTGTTTTATCAGATACTGGTATTGCAAACCATGCTTTTTTTTTTTTTTGCTTTCCATTTGCTTGGTAAATATTCCTCCATCCCTTTATTTCGAGCCTGTGTGTTTCTTTGCACGTGAGATGGATCTCCTGAATACAGCATAGCAGTGGGTCTTCACTGTTTATCCAATTTGCCAGTCTGTGTCTTTTAATTGGGGGATTTAGCTCGTTTACATTTATGTGTAAATTTGATCCTGTCATTATGATGCTAGCTGGTTATTTTGTTAGTTGATGCAGTTTCTTCATAGTGTTGATGGTCTTTACATTTTCGTATGTTTTTGCAGTGGCTGGTACTGGTTTTTCCTTTGCATATTTCACGCGTCCTTCAGGAGCTCTTGTAAGGCAGGCCTGGTGGTGACAAGATCTATCAGGATTTGCTTGTCTGTAAAGGATTTTATTTCTCCTTCACTCCTGAAGGTTAGTTTGGCGGGATAGGAAATTCTAGTTTGAAAATTCTTTTCTTTAAGAATATTAAATATTGGCCCCCACTCTCTTCTGGCTTGTAGGGTTTCTGCAGAGAGATCTGCTGTTAGTCTGATGGGCTTCCCTTTGTGGGTAACCCAACCTTTGTCTCTGGCTGCCCTTAACATTTTTTCCTTCATTTCAACCTTGATGAATCTGACCATTATGTGTCTTGTGGTTGCTGTTCTGGAGGAGTATCTTTGTGGTGTTCTCTGTATTTCCTGAATTGGAATGTTGGAGAAGCTGTCCTGGATAACATCCTGAAGAGTGTTTTTTAACTTGGTTCCACTCTCCCCATCACTTTCAGGCACACCAATCAAACATAGGTTTGGTCTTTTCACATAGTCTGATATTTCTTGGAGGCTTTGTTCATTCCTTCTCATTCTTTTTTCTCTAATCTTGTCTTCACACTTTATTTCATTAAGTTGATCTTAAATCTCTGATATCCTTTCTTCCGCTTGATTGATTCGGCAATTGATACTTGTGTATGCTTCACAAAGTTCTCGTGCTGTGTTTTTCAGCTTCATCAGGTCATTTATGTTCTTCTATAACCTGGTTATTTTAGTTAGCAATTCCTCTAACTTTTTTTCAAGGTTCTTAGCTTCCTTGCATTGGGTTAGAACATGCTCCTTTAGCTCAGAGGAGTTTGTTATTACCCACTTTCTGAAGCCTACTTCTGTCAGTTTGTCAAACTCATTCTCTGTCCAGTTTTGTTCCCTTGCTGGCGAGGAGTTGTGATCCGTTGGAGAAAAGGTGTTCTGGTTTTTGGAATTTTCCTCCTTTTTGTGCGAGTTTTTCCTCATCGTCGTGGATTTATCTACGTTTGGTCTTTGATATTGTTGACTTTCATATGGGGTTTTGGTGTGGATGTCCTTTTTGTTGATGTTGATGCTATTGCTTTCTGTTTGTTAGTTTTCCGTCTAACAGACCCCTCTGCTGCAGGTCTGCTGGATTTTGCTGGAGGTCCACTCCAGACCTTGTTTGCCTGGGTATCACCAGTGGAGGTTGCAGAACAGCAAAGATTTTGCTGCCTGTTCCTTTCTCTGGAAGCTTCGTCCCAGAGGGCCATCCTCCAGATGCCAGCTGGAGCTCTCCTGTATGAGTTGTCTTTTGACCCCTGCTTGAGGAGGCAGTCTGTCCCTTAGCAGAGCTCGAGTGTTGTGGTGGGAGATCTGCTGCTCTTTTCAGAGCCAGCAGGCAGGAACATTTAAGTCTGCTGAAGCTGTGCCCACAGCCGCCCCTTTCCCCACGTGCTCTGTCCCAGGGAGATGGGAGTTTTATCTATAAGCCTCTGACTTTGGCTGCTGCTGTTCTTTCAGAGGTGCCCTGCCCAGAGAGGAGGAATCTGGTGAGGCAGTCTGGCTACAGAGGCTTTGCTGAGCTGCGGTGAGCTCTGCCCAGTTCCAGCTTCCTCGTGGCATTGTATACACTGTGAGGGGTAAACCACGTACTCAAGCCTCAGTAATGGTGGATGTCCCTTCCCCCACCAAGCTTGAGTGCCCCAGGTCTACTTCAGACTGCTGTGCTGGCAGCAAGAATTTCAAGCCAGTGGATCTTAGCTTGCTGGGCTTCTTGGGGTGGGATCCACTGAGATAGACCACTTGGCGCCCTGGCATCAGCTCCCTTTCTAGGGGAGTGAATAGTTTTGTCTTGCTGGTGTTGCAGGCGCCACTGGGGTATTAAAAAAAAAACTCCTGTAGCTAGCTCAATGTCTGCCCAAATGACCACCCAGTTTTGTGCTTGAAACCCAGGGCCCTGGTGAAATAGGCACCAGAGGGAATCTCCTGATCTGCGGGTTGTGAAGACCGTGGGAAAAGCATATCTGGGCCAGAGTGCACCACTCCTCATGGCACAGTCCCTCATGGCTTCCCTTGGCTAGGGGAGGGAGCTCCCCAACCCCTTGCGCTTCCTGAGTGAGGTGATAGCCCACCCTGCTTTGGCTCGCCCTCTGTGGGCTGCACCCACTATCTAACCAGTCCCAATGAGGTGAGCCGGTACCTTGGTTGGAAATGCAGAAATCACCTGCCTTCTGCCTTGATCTCGCTGGGAGCTGCAGACTGGAGCTGTTCCTGTTTGGCCATCTTGCCAGCCACCAAGAATGTTAGCTATTTTTATTTTTAAAAATATTTTTTAGAGAATTCATCTCCCTGCAAAATACTTACTGAACTTTGATTTTAATTTTGGCCATATTATTTCTTGGCATTTGTGGTGCTGTATATAAAGTATTTAATTCCATTGGTAATATTTAGAAATAATTTATTTTTTTCAATTTGGGGAAAAAATTCAAAATAAGGGTTTTTAGTGATTTAATGGACAAAATAAGCAGTTGGAGAAAAAACTATTAATCGCATAGCTTACTGATATAATAGTTTTGATGTCTACCCCCTAAGTTCGTTGAAATTGCTAAGAGAAGTGTTTCTATGTCCAACTTGTCACATTTTTGATCTTTCTTTTCCCCATCTGGAATGTAAAAATAATGTTTAATGTATCTACCTCAAATGGCTAGCTAGTAAAATCGTATAATGGCTTTTAGGGTTTAAAATTCACTTTTTCTGTAATTACCAAGTAACTTCTAGTTCCAGGGATGTTTTGTTTTTGGCTATTTTCTTATTAAGAATACATTTTTCTGTTCAAAATGCAATTAGGATTTTATTTGCAGTTGTGCATAAGAGAAATGGACAATGCCATTGGAAAAAACTTCAAATAAAAGATGCCACTGTGAAAATATTTTATAACTCTTTTTTTGGCAGGGGAGTTAACCTTATCTTGGGTATACAAAGGAATAGGTAATTACGGATTTTAAATACACATGTAGAAACAGACAGAGAAAGGAGAAACAGAGATATACTATTGTACTGATTTTAAAACTAGCTTCTTGGGAGTTTAATTTTCTGATTTCTGGATTCTGTCACCTAAACTTACAGGTAAGTAAAGTATACCAGAAGAGAACAGACATTATACCGTCAATATCCTCAAAGGTTATTTTTCGGGTATTAGGCTCTAATTCCTACTTCACACCTTTTTTTTCTTTTTGAGACGGAGTCTAGCTCTGTCACCAGGCTGGAGTGCAGTGGCGCGATCTCGGCCCACTGCAACCTCTGCCTCCCGGGTTCAAGTGATTCTCCTGCCTCTGTCTCCCAAATAGCTGGGACTATGGGCGCGTGCCACTACGCCCAGCTAATTTTTGTATTTTTAGAAGAGACAAGGTTTCACCTTATTGGCCAGGATGGTCTCTATCTCTTGACCTCGTGATCTGCGCACCTCAGCCTCCCAGAGTGCTGGGATTACAGGCCTGAGCCACTGCACCTGGCCCACTTTTTAAAAAAATATGTGTAGAAGGTTAGAACAGTTGAATCCAGCACAGTGGAACTGAGCATGAATTCATCCAAGTGTAAACCTTGACTGAAGTGACAAAATGGGATGGGTTTTCCTTAAGTATTAGGTATAAAATACATGTTTAAGGAAGTGGCTAGTTTCTTTTCATCTTAGGGTGTATCATATTCTTAAATTATTGGTGTGGCCAGTTATTTCAGATTGAAAACGTTTGTAGTATGTGACTTTACATTTTGTGTACTTGAAACAAATCCTTCTTATTAAACTGTTTTGATTTTGTATCAAAAGTATTTAGTAAGCAGTTGTATCTTTTAAACATACCACATTGTTTCATGAGAAACTCCTTTGTTTAAAAACTGATTTTTAAAGTCAGTGATGGCATTACTTATTATTTAGTGAAACTATATTTAAGCTAATTCCTATAAAGGGATTAATATATGAAATGCTGAATTCAGAGATTGGCTAAAAGTTAAATGTGGAAAAACATCATTTGTACCTTCTGTTTTAATTCTTTAAAAATGTGTAAAACCTTTTCATACTCTGCCTAATTAGGTCTCCAAAGTTTTTAATAATATTTAAAGGTAATCTCACTAAATTACAAATAGCACTGCATTTAACTTGATTGCTGCAGCAAACATGAAATTAAGATTTTCATACTAAAATATTATAGACATTTTGTATAGGTCCAATGTTAGCTATATCATGTACATTAATATTTATTAAAGTTGTGTGTACATACATCTTGTACTCATTACTATTGCATACGTGTAGTATATCAAGCATTATAATAAAAAAATTATGATTTTTAAAAAACCATTCTTTCTCAGGTGTATAGTCTACTGTCAATAAAAAAGAATCCTGTAAACGCTGTAGGAAGAGATGTGAAGCAGGGAGAGTCGACTACTGTTTACTGGAGTCTACTTTGTAGCTAAAATGAAACAGCTTAAAATTTCTAAATTGAGTGTATTTTAAGTAAAAGATTATCTGCTATTGGTAGAGTACCATATAACTTATTCAACTTTCATTTTTTTCACAGAGCTCCTTAATAAGCATTTATAGTCAGTTTTTGGCAGCAATAGAATCACTAAAGGCATTCTGGGATGTTATGGATGAAATCGATGAGAAGACCTGGGTACTTGAGCCAGAAAAACCTCCACGGAGTGCAACAGCACGCAGAATTGCATTAGGTAGGGACAAGGAGGATTAAGGGTTTGTTTTTAGGTGTTTTATTTTGTATTATGAAAATAAATCTAACAATGACAGTTGGACTCAGACTTCTTTATATGAAGTCAACTATTAAAATTTTCTAGTATAAACTTTTTTTTGGCTACACATTTAAATGTAAATATTTTAGGTGAAAAGGAGAAGTACTGAGGTGTTTCATTATAAAAGGTGATGATCCAATGGAGGTAACATTCAGAAGTAGAGTTTAATTAGCTGCTAATTAGCACAGGAATCGTGGAACAGGTAACTCAAAATTTACATTACTTAGAACAAGAAAAAAGTCAGAATAATGCAGTCTTCATTTGTGAAGCTTACAATCTTCTCAGATTAGTGTGCTCAGATCTGGGAATATTTTCTGTTAGAAATACAGAGGAAGATAAAAGAACTTGCAGTAGACCATGCCACTGAAGAGTAAACAGAAAGCACAGAGAAAGAATTTATAGTTTTAAGTATTTTCTTCACAAGTATATGAAATTTATGAATGAGATATGGTATAATCATAAATACCTGTGCAATGTTATCATGTTCTCGACTATAAAATGGCTGTGTATTTTCATTATAAGCAAGCAAAACATGTGACTTCAGCCTTTCTCAAGATTTTAGATAAACTATATTTAAGCTCACATTAAATACCATAGCTAGTTTTAAGATACCCATTTCTTTTTTTCTAAATAGATATGTTGTTCAAGGGTATTTTGAAATTCTGATGTGAATCACATCCAAGTTAGTGAGCAATTTTTATACTTTATACCTAGGTATAATATAGATTATCTGGGGGAAGAATGTCACATACGTGGTATTACGAGAAGAAAGTATAGTTTACAGCAGTTCTACAAATAGTATTGGTACTTTCCTGGTTTCAAAAAGTCTAACTGTGTTTAATTTGGAACAATTAACCAAATTATGGTATATTTGTGAACAAGTAGATACTAAGAATGAAAATATTTTCTTCAAAGAAATGTAGTAAATCATTATTTTCGTGGCCCCATTAAAGTAATTATCAGGTTATGATTAAATATACTTACTATATTTCTCATTCAGCATACATAGTCTAGTTTTTAATTCATTCCCTATTTACCTTTTAGCTTCTTTTTTCTCCTCCAGGCATGATTTGCTTTCTTAAGACCAAGTTTTGAACAAGTGATTGGAAAAATTAGTTAATATGCCCATATTACGTGAAAGTACTGTCTGGAGCCATTACCAGATGACAGTGTTGAGGGCTAATAAGAAATTTCTGTTCATAGTAAATAATGTGTTACCAAATGAGATTATAACTTTTTGTATTTTTATTTGTCTCATTGAATGGCTAGTCATTTTTTTCTGTTAATGACCTCTTTTTGCCAGATATGCAATAACTGCATTTATGTTGATGCCAGCCTTAGTGAAAGGCTTATTCTACAGTGTATGGAATTTATCAAGACATTTTTACGATGAAAATGAAATCCAAATTGATCTTAAGCAGTTACACTATGTACCTTCAAAAAATAGAAGTAAAATTTCTGAAACTTACGCTGTAGTCCAGTACAGTTAAAATGTATAAAAGAACCTAGTGCCAATTTTCTTAGGTCTTGCGAAATTAGGTTACTTATTGTTTTGGTTATTAATGAACAATTGCCAATGTGAATGAAATCTTTTGTTAAATTATAAGGGAAAGTTTCACATGCAGCAAAATAATACAGAAAATGTTTTTATAAATTTTTATAAAACTTGAATCTTTAATGTTTGTTTTTACCATTTACTGTATTGTTGGTCTTTTTACATTTGGCCATAGTTCTATGAAATGTAAACTTTTTCAGGAAAGCCATGAAAAATAATTTAGATAGTTATTTCTTAAACATGTGACTTGTGATAGTTTTGATATTAAAGACCTTTATCACTCCACAGAACATTTTTATTTAAACTTTAATACAGTTGACCAGAATTGCAATCTAATTAAATATATCAATTTGTTGACTGGCTGAAATTTAAGATCCTTTCAATGATAATCATATCAAAATTACTTCTTTTGGTTCAATTATATTTACCATTACATAAAACTACAAAACATTTGGTTAATCTTTCCGTGGGTATACAGTGAAATAGGTAGCCAGACCAACACCTCTTTATTTTTTATTGGGTTGTTTGATGAGCTGTTCTACTTCTAAAAGATTTAATCTTGTTTCATTCTAGGTAATAATGTTTCCATAAATATAGAGGTAGACCCCAGGCATCCTACTATGCTTCCTGAGTGCTTCTTTCTTGGAGCTGACCATGGTATGACATCTGAGATTTAAACGTTTTTTAATAGAGTCATAAAATCCTTGCCTAGCATTGTTAAATTATTAGACAATATTAGTATATTAATGGTAGTTTTTATTTTTTGTCTGAGACGGAGTTTTGCTCTTGTTGCCCAGTATGTAGTGTAATGGCGCGATCTCGGTTCACCGCAATAATGATAGTTATTTTAAATGACAATGTCTCAGCATTCTGAACTGTATAATTTTGTTTTTTAACATAATACATATAATTTTGATTTTCTAATCAAGTAGTTAAGAAACATTCTGTATCAAATGTGGCTTTAGAAACCAAGAGTAGAGCATGCAATTATTAAATTTTTTTTTTTTAATCTGAAGTGGTAAAACCCCTGGGAATTAAGCTGAGCAGGAACATACATTTGTGGTAGGTACCTTGGCAATATAATTTTTACTTTTTGGTGATTTTACAAAGTTCACAGCATAATTTTTTTCCCCATGCTTTCAGGGATCCAGAAAATAGTGTGTTACAAAATTTGAAAGATGTTTTAGAAATTGATTTTCCAGCTCGTGCTATCCTGGAAAAATCTGTAAGTTTTATCAGTGTTTTGATATTCCAGACAGTATTGCATAATGAAGTTTAAATGCTTCTCTCAGTGAAAAATGAGGCTGAAAAAGGAGGGAATTAGAAAAATATTATAACACAGACTTCTGATCTGCATCAAAAAACTTGTTTACCTTTGATTGGTTGTTAAGTACAACTGTCTCTTGGAACAGGGGGATTGATTTCAGGGCTGCCCATGGATACAAAAATCCACAGACATTAAAGTTCCACAGTTACCCTGCAGGACCCATATATAGAAGAAGTCGGCCCTCTGTATACAGAGATTTCACATAAACACAGGTTCTGCATCTTGTCAGTACTGTATTTTTGATCTGCATTTGGTTAAAAAAAAAATCTGTGTATAAGTAGACCTGTGCAGTTCAAACCCATGTTGTTCAAGGGTCAACTATATACTTTTTTCATGGTCTTCAGTAGTGACGTCATTAATGACAGACATTTATTAAAAATAAGGGGAGAACTCCAAAGTAGCTAATGAGATGTTTGGCTTTTCTACATAGTCTGTTTATGGATGGCTCAAATACTGATTAGCTTGATGTAAGTGTTTGTGAAGCAGTTATAGTTTCTCAAAATTGAATAGATACCACTATACTGCAAAAATAATAGAATTGATTTTTGACAAGGCTGCTAAGGTTGTAGACTACTAAATGGTAGTGAGTTTCTTTTTCCTTTAGTTACAGAATTGTGCTGTTTAGTAATCACTAGCTAATATCAATTCCTTTCTTTAAATACTATCAGGGACATTATAACAATGTATGATATGGGAATATTACTGATGCCCAAACATCTTGCCAGCCAAAAATGGAATCTCTTTTTTTAGCCTAGCTGTGTATATTTGAGTGGAAAAGGAAACACCCTACAATAGCTTTGCTAGGTGTTAAATAGTAATGTAATTATATTTCCTATAATACAGCAATATAGTCACCTTTATAAAAACTATATTTATAAAACATTCTTCCTGATCTTACCTTGTGTTTTAAACACATAGATGATTTCGTATTCTAAAGTAGTTAGAAGAATTGTAATGTTCCCAACATAAAAGGTAAATGTTGAGGTGATGAATATCTTAATTATCCTGATGTCATCATTAAACACTGTATACATGTATCAAAATATCACACATACCCTCCCAAATATGTACAACGAATAAGTTAGTGAGACACATACGCTTTTTATAAATATTTTTCTTTTGAAGGATTTTACTATGGATTGTGGAATTTGTTATGCTTATCAACTTGACGGTACCATTCCTGATCAAGTGTGTGATAATTCTCAGTGTGGACAACCTTTCCATCAAATATGCTTATATGAGGTAAAAAATAAAAATATTGTCAAGACTTTTTTCCGCTAACACAACATAGGAAGTATTCCTGTTTGAAATACACAGAATCTAAAATCTGTTGAGTCAATAGTGATCCTCTCTTTTGCCATTAACTCCTTTTACCAGTTTATTCCAGATGCTTATGTGCTTCATTTCTTCATCACAGTTACTAATGAGTGGAGAAATGTTCTGAAGTATCCAAGGGAGAAAATCTATCCAGAATATATTCATGGACTAGCTTATTGACACATAACAAATTAAATTGATGGTACATTGGAATCTTTCTATAAATTCCTTGTTACCACAATGTAAGCTTCATAGGTTTACCCGAGGTGGAGGTGGTTGAAAGTGGCAGTAATACAGTGAAAATGAAATTAGTACTATGTAGTATCTATTACTTTTCAGGCTGCATTTAAGAATAGAATATATCCAATACTACTACTTTTCATGTTGAGAAGAATGCCTTTTGTGATCTGAGTCTCACAGCACTCAGGCAATGCCACTTTACTTACTGTATGTGAAGTCTACTTTCATTCCTGTCTTTAGTGCCTGGCTTCACCTTAGGGCCTAGTTGATACATGATAAACTGTGTGTAACTATATACAGAACACCTTGCAATTGTATGTTGCCTTCGGTTTCAGTCTTCCTTAATATCACATCTTTACTTTTGTGATTAGAGGTAGCAGTTGGTGCCGTCTGTACTTTGCCAATGGAGAACTTAGGCAGAGGCATCTATTTACCTTATATAAAATCATGAAATTACAGAAATACAGGTCAAATTACAGAAATACTCTAAGGGAACATGTGATTTCTTTTGTAATTATGAATATTCATTTAATTTTTAAAAATTCACTGGCTCATGCTTATAATCAATGGGTTGAAAATTAACCCACTGTTAGTGATTCAGACCAGAACTAAGAGGGAAATTTTCAAGAGCCTGTAGTATCTTTAACAGCAGGAGTTGTTAATTTGTGATTAATGGATTTAGGGAAAGTCTATGAATGCCAGGAACTTAGTATGCATTATTTTTATGTATGTCTATTCTGGGGATAAAGAAAATGCGTAATTCTTATCAGATTCTTAAAGGGGCCCATAATCTGGTTATAAACCAGTGGTTTAGGCCTTCAATTCCATGTTGATTTCCCTTGTTACTCAACATCTTAATAGTCTGCTATTGGCTCAGGAAATACATCCCTTACTCTTGCAAAACAAAATTAAGCTAAGTCTTCTGGAATAAAAACATAATGCACTTAAAAACAAAGGGAATGACATTTGGAGTATCTGTAATTTGTAATCATGCTGACGCTTCTCCTTTATCTTTTAAAATTTGCAGTGGCTGAGAGGACTACTAACTAGTAGACAGAGTTTTAACATCATATTTGGTGAATGTCCATATTGTAGTAAGGTAAGCAAATTGTTAATCACATCTCATAAAATGTGCCTAGCTTTCAGTAATATGTTCTAGAAGATAGATCTATATAGTATATCAGTTTATCTAAAACTTTTGAAACTCATTCTCTGTATTTCTATTTTTCAAATTCTCTGATCAAAAACATTAAACTCCTTTTCTAGATTTCCTAGGTGATCTGAAACTTCAGAAGTGTTTTCCAAACTGTACTATGACACTATTCTATGACACTATTTCTAGTACAAAGCAATTTTATTTTTTAGAGTGTCCACAAACTTTGTTAAAATATGTTCTCTTTTTAAAGCCAATTACCTTAAAAATGTCTGGAAGGAAACACTGAAATAAGAATACAACATTTCGGTGAAGAGCTGGAAACTTAAAAAATTATCAAAAGGAATTTTGGTATCATCTTCAGAGAAAAAATAAAGCAAGAAATACTAACATCAAAAGGACAGGTATGATGATGCGATAATAATAAACATCTGCGTTTGTCTCTTCACTAAGAGTAAACTGGGAAATTGTAGGCCAAAGTCCAGTTGAACTTTCTAAGTCTGTGATCCCCGTGCTGACTGTGGAAGTGTATTTATACCAAGATGGAGATCTTGACTTCTTGAATATATCTGGACTGGTAAAATCTTGATGAGGCTCATAAAATGAGTTTGGGAATTGTGTATAGCTGATTTTTTGTGGGAAACTGTTTACTTCATTCAAAGGTTCTTGAGACTCTTGATATTTCTGTCTTCTCCTTGTGCTTTCCTATGGAAAAAATACATATATAGTTTAGTTTGTTAGACGTGAGTTATCCAAGTATTTATTTTGTGTAGTGTGTAAGAATGCTAAATAAAATGTTATACAAGATCAAGTTTTTGCGTGTTATTTTTCCTGAGAAGTAATTTTTAGGTAAAGATCTTAAAGATTTACACTTTTTAAGAGTTTATAAACATCCAACAAGCAAATCTGGATATAATTTGAGTGGTTCTTTTAAACCACGTCAGTAGGCCATCTCTTAAGTAATTTATAATCTAAAAATAAATAGGATAGAATATGAAAACTGAATTTTCTTGGCAAAACCAAAAAATTGGGCTTAATCTTAAGGGGGTAAGATAGCCATAATTAGAAATATTTTGGTCATTAATGTGATTCTTTCTTTACCTTCTGATTCCATGGCAACTGAGAAGTGTCCACTGTACAGTGGGCAAAGGATGAGGCTGTACACAGCCAAAGAAAACTGCCTCAGGGGTAGCTATAGTGTTATGTCTCTTGGAAAGCTATACAGACGAACCAGTATAGACCGAATAGATATTAATATAAAGCAAATTAAGTGGTATTAATATAAAACAAATTAACTGGTTACTTATGCAAGTTTCGGGAGCTACTTCTATGTTTTCATCATTCCTGTTGGCCAAAGTCCCAGGAATCAGTTTCCTGATCACCACTTAACTGGCTGAAAGTCGAGTTTTTCTGCTTTGCTTTGGTGACATCTGGCATGCCCCCTCAGCACCATTTATCAAGTAACTAACTTAGAAGAGAAGAAATTTATAAAACAAAGCAAAATACTTTAAGCTTGTTCACTGTCCATCATTCTCAGAATAGCTACTACCTTCTCAACCTTTAAACTGCCACCCTTCAAACAAACAGCCCTCCCCTTTCTAGATACAGAGTTTTGGAAGTGTCAGAAAGGAGTCCTACATAAAACAAAGGATGTTTTAAAAACTACTAGCTTTCCTATGAAAAAAAATTACTTGAGAGTTAAATGACTCACTTTAGAGTTAAATAACTCATTTTAAACTACTCTTTCTGAGCTAACGAAGTCACATTAATGCAGTTTTTCATAAGTTTGTCAGCTTTATTAACTAAAGTCAAAATAAGTGAATAATTATTCCAGTAGGCCTATAAAGCATAATACAAATAATAATTATGCTATCAAATCATAGAGCAGCATTTACATATAGCTCACATGTGCAAGGCTGGGAGATATCTCCACTTAGGTAAGGATAGAAGTCAAGCTACTATAATTTCCAGAATCATCTACTGTGTAATCTATACACTTAATCTCTCTTGAACATCAGCAAATGACATCATATGGCAAGGCACTCATCAAAGAATTTAACCACCTGTTGTCTTCAGTACACTGAGGGGGTCTGATTAGGATAGTCTATAACAGGAGTTGCCAAAATTTGGCTTGGCTAGTTGCCTGTTTTGTGAATAAAGTTTTATTGGAACAGAGCCACATCAATTTGTTTATGTATTGTCTATGTGGGCTTTTGCACTACAATGGCATTGTTGAATAGTTCTGACAAAAACTGTATGGAAAGTAAACTGAAAATATTTTCTTTCTGGCCTTTTAAGAAAAGGTTTGCTGACCCCTGCTCTACGGCATTATTCTTCGAGTATTAGAAAGCAAACAGATCATCATAACTTGTTAAAATGCAGATCTCATTCAAAAGGTCTAGGAGTATGACCTGAGATTCTGTATTTCTGAGAAGCTCCAGATGATGCCAATACAGCTGGTCTGCACACCCCACTTTGAGTAGCAAAGGGCTCAAGGCAATGCAATAATCTACTGTGATAGAGCATTGGTTCTCAGCCTGGGTTGATCCTGCCCCACAGAGGACATTTAGCAATTTCTGGAGACATTTTGGGTTGTTACAGCTAGGAGGAGATACTATTGACACCTAGTAGATAAGTACTAGGAATGATGCGAAACATCCTACATCACAGGACAGCACCCCCACAACAAATAACAGCTCAGCTCCCAAATGTCAACAGTGCAGCTGTCAAGAAACCCTACATTAGAATAGTTATTAACTTTGAATGCACATCAGAATCGACTGGGAAGCTATGAAAAATAGCAACACTACTTCCACTCTGGCCATGAAAATCTGATACCAGACTTCCCCTTCTGCTGTGAAAACCCATAAATAAATAATAGAAAACAAAATTAGTCAAAATATGTGAAATAACTTAGGGATCTAAAACAAAGCTCAGGAAGGGAAAATAACACAGACCTAAGAAAGGCCACAATTTAAGATTTACTGCAGACTAGGCCAAAAAAGCCTGAACAGAACTTATAAAATGATCAGGTTTAGTCACCAGTAAGTTAACTGTCTGCCAGAACTAACCTCAAAACTCTTTAAAGGAATGCAATAAAATCTGGAGTCTAAAGACCACAGCATCCACAATGTTCAGTATACAATAAAACTACTACAAATGAGATGCAGGAAATGTGACCCATAACCAGGAGAAAAAATTAACAGAGATTCAGGGCTGATCCAGATGGTACAATTATCAAACAAGGACTATAAAACATCTACATAAATATGTTCAAGGAATTAAAGTTGAACATAATTAATGAACAGATATGGGGGAGGTGGAATCTCAACATACAAAGAAATATACTTGTGGAACTGAAAAATACAGGGTATAACATGAAAAATTCATTGGCTAGGTTTAACAGCTGATTTGACAATCAACTAGAGGTCAGGCAAAAACAAAACAAAACAAAACAAAACAAAACAAAAAAAACACCACCACCCAACCTGAGGTACAGCAACATAAAAGACTGATTTAAAAAAATAGTTATTTAGCTGCCTATGAAAAAGGTAAAGTATTCTAACATGCATGTATTTGGAACTCAGAGAAATAAGAGAGATTAAGGCATGAAACAAATTGATGAAATCATACAAAACCTTTCCAATTTGAAGACAAATATCAACCCACAGATAAAAGCAGCTCTACGAACCCAAAGCACAATAAACAAAAGACAGCCATCCTTACAAAACCAAAAATAACAAGCAAATCTTGAAAGCCACAGAAAGAAATACATTATAAATGGGCCAATAAGAATAACTGCTAACTTCTTAGCAGAAAAAAAAACAGACCTATGAAGATGGAAACATCCTTTTTAAAGTTCTGAAAGAATAGATTCCATATTCAATGAAGCTTTCAAAATCAAAGTGAGGGGCATCCAGTTATAGACAAGAAAGAGTAAGCATCCCACCTTATTCTGGTAATTAAAGAGTGGACAAAAAGCACCTATCAAAACACTGAAAATTCTAAAAATGACCCTCCCTTGAGTCTCCACCCGCCATGTACTTTAGTACCTCCTATTACCCCAGCCTGGGCCATAAAAGAGCCTGCGTTCTGGAAACAGCAATATGCACAGACTGGAAAAAAAAAAAAACAAACATGAAAAACATGCTCTATGTAACCAATAGCCCTGGGGGAGGACAGGTCTACAGGACAGAATCTTTTTATACCTGCTGAACCCTAGGTGAACACCATGAAAGAAGCTGTACCTTACTTCTCTCCAGGTGCTGTGGAAACGGGGCGGCGGGGTGGGGGGGATGGTGGGGGCGGTGGGGAGGTGGCAAGGGTGGGGTGAAGAGGGAGGGTACAGTCCTGTTGAGTATCATCACCCTACACTAACCAGGGAGCACACCTACCCTTCCCCCATCAAGCACTGTGGAGACAGGTAGAGCCCTGTTGACCGTCCTCACACTAACAAGGTGATACCCTATCCCACTGGGTGTTAGGGAAATTGTGAGATAGAGCTCTGACAACCTTTCCCAGCCTGTACTACTGAGGTGGTCCCCCTTCCTTCCCACCAGGAGACTACCAAAACTGTAAGGCAGAGCCATATAGCCTGTTCCTCCCTGCACTAACACAAGCAGATGTGGTACCTGTCTTCCTCCCCACCAGACACTGTAGAGACCGTAGTAGAGAGCTACCAACCTTCTCCACCTTGCACTGAGCAAACATCAGAGCAACAGCAACCCTCCACTCTGGCCTCAGAAACTGGAGAGGCACTTGCCCTTTTGACCGTGCCTGCTGTGCATTAAACAGCAAAGAGTTGGCATCGCACATCTCCCTAACTAGAAAGCTCTGTTCTCAGTAATTGATATAACTACTAGAGTGAAAATCAGCAGGAATATAAAATAAATCAGTAACATCACAAGATAATGGGATCTAGCTGATATTTATAGACTACTTCACCCCCAAACAGGAAAATACATGTTCTTTTCAACTGCAACTGGAACATTCAACCAGGCAGACCGTCATATCCTATCCATAAAACAAACCCTAACAAATTTATATTGTTAGACCATAATATAATTAAACTAGAAATCAATAACTGAAAAAAAAATCTTCAGATACTTGGGAATTAACACATTTCTAAATAAGGTATTAAAAGTCTCAAGGGGAAATATATTTTGAAGTGAACAAAATTGAAATGTATAAATATTTACAGGATGCAGTACAAACAGGGTTTAGCAGGACACTTATAGCATGGAATACTTACATTAGAAAAAATAGTGGGTTCAAATCAATAGCCTAAGCTTCTACCTAAACTGGAAAAAAGGGAAGAAAATACACCAAGATCAAGATGAAGGAAAGAAATAATAGGAAAATCTCCAAATGCTTTAAAATTTAAAGACCCCTTTAAATGGGTCAAAGAGACCCCAGGAAAATTAAAAAATACATTGAACCGAATGGAAATAAAAATACAACATATCAAAACATGGGACATAGCTAATGTCATGCTAGAAGGGAAATTTATAATACTAAATATTTGTACTAGAAAAGACAAAAAGTCCCAATTTAATAATCTGTTTGCACCCCAAGAAATTATAAAAAGAAATGACAAGTATGTGACATGATGGATTTGTTAATTAGTGTGAGTTAAACATCCCACAATGTAGACATATATCAAAGCATCACATTGTACCCCATAGATATGATATATACAATTATATTTGTCAAAAAAAGAATTAAAAAAAAAAGAAATCCAAAGCAAGCAGAAAGATAGAAATTAGAGCAGAAATCAATAACATTGGCAATTAAAAAATACAGAATGATCAATCAAAAGCTGGTTCTGAGACATGACCAATAAGAATGACAAACTAGCAAGACTAACAGGGAAAGAAAACACAAACTACCAGTATCTGGGAAGAAACAAATATCACTACAGACCCCACAGGCATTTAAGGGATTTGAATAAAGGAATAGTATGAATAATTATACCAACAAAAATTTGATAGCTCAGATGAAATGGACCAATTCCTGGAAAAATCACAAATTACCAAAACTAACTCAAGATGAAATAATAAAAATGCAAGAGATAAATAGTTGTGACAAGAGTCCATATGACCTGCAAAACCTAAATTTTTTACCATCTGGCTCTTTACAGAAAAGTTTGCCTACTCTTGAAATAAATATCTGAATAGTCTTACTAAAGAAATTGAATTCATAGCTAAAAAGGAATCTCCAGACCCAGATGGTTTCACTAGAGAATTCTGCAAAACGTGAAAAAGAAACAGGATCAATTCTATACATTTTCTTCCAGAAATTAAGAAGAGGAGGAAGGCTTCTCAACTCATAAGGTCACCATTACCCTGATACCAAAACCAACAAAAACAGTAGAATAAAAAGATAACAACAGACATCAGCTCTCATGAGCACAGATGTAAAACTCCTCATTAAAATACTAGCAAATTAAATCCAGCAACATATAAAAAGAATAATATAAAATGACGAAGTGGGGTTGATTCAAGGAATGGAAGACTAATTTAATATTCAACCACAAACCAGTGTCATCCACTATGGTAACAGTCTAAAGAAGAAAAATCACATGATCATATTAATTGATACAGAAAAAGCATTTGACAATATTCAGCACCTATTCATGATGAAAACTCTTAGTACATTAGAAATGGAGGGGAGCTTCCTCAACTTTATACAGAACATCTATAAAAATGTCTACAGCTAACCTACTGAATAGTGAATGGACAAAAACTGGAAAGAAACCAAATGTTCTTCAATGGTATATCCATACTTCAGATTACTACTGAGCAATAAAAAGGAATGAACTGCTCATGTACACAAAACTTGGATCGATCTCAAGGGCATGATGACGAATGAAACAAAGCCATTCTCAACAAGTTACATATCATAAGATTTGATTTATATGATACACTCAAAATGATAAAATTACAGTGATGCAGAATAAACCCACTGCTTTCTGAGGATTAGGATTGGGAAGAGAGTGTCACTATAGCATGAGCAATTCCTACGTGGTCATGGAACAGGTCTGCAGGATAATTGTGGTGGTTACTCCATACATGTTATAAAATATCTAAGGAACACAGACATGCACGAGTACATGTCAAAATTGGTGATATCCTAATAAGGTCTGTATTTTATGGTAGTATATGAATGTCAATTTCCTGCTTTGTAAAATTATATTATGGTTATGTAAAATGTTTTCATTTGCAGGAGTTGGGTGAAAGGGTAGGTAAGGGTATAGGGAGGCTGTATGTATTTTTGCAATTTCGGAGTCTACAGTTACTTCAAAATAAACTGTTAAAAAAATGCAGAAATAAAATATAAATCCACCACTACAAAAAAAAATGCAGGTGAAATACAAATATTTTCAGACAGACAAGAGGTGACAGAATTAGATTCCAGGAAATATATACTATGATAAATGTTAAAGGAATTTGTTCAGGCTGAAGAGAAATTATACCAAACTAAGATCTATTGAAGGAATAAAGAATTTCAGTAACTGTAAATACTGGGATATGTTAAGACTTTTTTTCCTTTTCCTTTCTTAATTTTTTTAAAATGAAAAATGGCTCCTTAAAGCAACAATACCAATGCATTCTGAAATATATTACACATGTAAAAGCAAAACGTATAACAACAATAGCACAAAGGATGAGGGATAAAGGGAAGTATATATTTTTAAGGTTCTTACACATTAAGTCAAGATAGAATGTAATATGATCAGTTAAATGTGCACATGGTAATTTCTAGAGCCACGCTGTCTAATATGACTTGACCACTTGAAATATGGCTAGTTATAATTGAGATGTGCTGTTACTATAAAATAGACACCAAATTTTGAAGACTTTAGAAAAAGATGTAAGTATCTCAGTAATATTATTCTGATTATACCATTGTGGATACTGGTTTAATCAGAGGACGTTATTAAAATAGATTCTACCTGTTTCTTTTTACTTTTTGAAATGTGGTTAGTAGAATTTTTTAAATTGCATATGTGGCTTGCATTATATTTCTGTTAGGCAGGATTGTGCTGAGCAGGGATTTGCAAACTTGTTTTGTAAAATGCCTGAGAGTAAATATTTTAGGCTTTTTTGACCATACAGTCTCTGTTGCAGTTAGCTCTGCCACTATGGAACAAAAGCAATCAAATACAATATGTAAGTGAATGAGTATGGCTATGTTCCAATAAAACTATTTACAAAAATAGGTGGTTGGCTGAATTTGGCCCATAGGCTATGGAGCTGACTGACCCCTTGCTCTAGAGTGACCACCAAAAAAAAAAAAAAAAAAAAAAAAAAAAAAAAAAAACAAGCATAGAAGCATAGTTAAAAAAAAATTCTCAATCAGTCCAAAATAAAGCAAGAGGGAGGTAAAAAGGGACAAAGAACAAATGGGGCAAAAAGAAAGCAAACTGCATAATGGTAGATTAAACCCAGCTATATCAATAGTTACCTCAAATGGAAATGGAGCAAATATAGTTACATGAAATAGATATGGAGCAAATAAAAGATAGTGTTTGCCAGATTTTATAAAATAGCGAGGCTCAACTATATGCTAGTTACAAAAGCCACAGATAAAAAGACACAAGTGGATTAAACAAAGGATGGAAATGGATACAATGTATAAATGTTAATCATAGGAAGGCTGGAATTGTTAAAAGTCAGATGAAGTAGAACTCAAGATAGAGTATTTAATAGATATAAAGAAAGATATTTCAGAATGATGAACAGGACAGTTAACCAAGAACATATAACTACTATCTGCATATACCTAATAACAGCATCAAAATCTATGAAGCAAAAATGTATAGAAGCAAAAATGTATAGAAGAGACAAATGGATAAATTCACAATTACAGTTGGTGATTGTAACATTCCTTTGTCATTAAATGATAAAACGAGGACAAAATAAAACAGTGAATATATAAGATTTGAACACTATTAAACAACCCCAAACTTCATAAGTATACAAGGAACATTCACTAAACTAGGCCTTTTCCTTGGTGACAAAATAAGTTTCAGTGAATTTTAAAAGATTGCAATAATACAGGATGTGTTCTGATGACAGCAAAATTAAATTAGAAATCAATAACAAAAAAGATACCCAGTAAACCTTAAAAATACTTAGGAATTAAATAACATACTAATAAATAATCCATGGGTCAAATAAATCAAGGGACATTAGAAAATACATTGAACTGATTAATAATGAAAACACAACACATCAAAATTTGTGAAATAGACAGCCAAAGCACAGCTTACATATTTATAGGTTTAACTATATACGTTAGAAAAAAAATGAAGGAAAAAATTAGTGATTTAAACTTTCACCTTATGAAGCTTGAAAGAATAAATTAAATGCAAAATAAGTAGAATCAAGCAAATGATAAAGAATTAGTGAAACAGAAAACATATCAATGGTAGGTTTTTTTAAAAAAATCAACAAAACCAAAGGTTGGTCTTTGAAAAAAAAAAAAAACTAAAAAAAAAAAACCAAAGCTGGTCTTTGAGAAGATCAATGAAAATGATAAGCCCTTAGCTAGACTACTAAAAAAAGAAAGAAACCAAAAGTTACCATTATCAGAACTGAAAGAGGGACATCAATATAGATATTGGTGATGATAAAGGGAAAATAAAGAATATCCTAACTTAGTGCTGATAAATTTGAAAACTTAGATGAGATGGACAAATTCTTTGAAAAATACAAATATAAAACTGACCCAAGAAAAAAAATCTAATGATCACTCTATATATTATAGAAAGTAAATGTGCAGTTAAAAAATTTCCTACAACAAATTATCAGCCCCGATGGTTTTCTTGCTCAATTCTATCCAACATTTAAGAAAGGCAAATCTTACAAAAACATTTTCTGAAAACAGAGTGCAACACTTCCAACTGGTATAATTCATAATGACCCTGAAAACAAAACCATACAAGGATATTACGACAAAAGAAAATTACAGCTGCTCTGTGAAGTAGCCATCCTTTTATTCCTTTACTTTCTTAATAAACTTGCTTTCACTTTGCAAAAAAAAAAAAAAAAAAGAAAAGAAAAAGAAAATTACAGACCAGTATCCCTCATCAGTCTAGGTATAAAAACCTTCCATGGAACTGAAATTCAGCAGGAATTGAGTTGGAATTCAGCAAACAGAATTCAGCAGGAAAACACATCATGCCTAACTGGAGGTTTATCCCAGAAATAAAAGGTTGATTTAACATTTAAAAATCAGTGTAATTCATCGTACTAGTAAAGGGAAAAAATCATGTGATCATCTCAAAAGATCTCAAAACAGTATTTAATATTCATTATTTACATTTATTTTTCAACAAATATGGTGAAATTTCCTCAGCCTGATAAAGGGCATTTAGAAAAAATCAACAGCTAACTTAATGGTGAAAGAATGAATGCATTCCCCCTAAGATCAGGAACCAAGCAAGGATGGCCACTGTCACAACTTCTATTCAACGTAATACTAGAGCTGCTAGCAGATGTAATAAGACAACGATAAAAAATAAATAAAGGGCATATATTGGAAAGGAAGAGGTAAAACTGTCTCTATTCACAGACATCATTAACTATGTAGAAAGTCCTAAGAATCTATTTAAAAAATAATAAAACCTATTGGAACTAATAAGTACATTTAGAAAGATCCCAAGACACATGATTATATTGTATATCAAATATAACTGATATAGAAATAGAAAATAAATTCTATTTCTATATACCAGCAACAAATAACTGGAATATGAAATTTTGAAAATTACTACTTAAAATGGGATCAAAAATATTTAGAGATAATTTTAATGGAAGATGTATAGACATCTACACTAAAAACTACAAAACACTGTTGAGAGAAGTTAAAGAAAATGCACATAAATGCAGAGAAGTTCCACATAAATGCAGAGAAGTACCAGGTTTATGCACTGGAGGAGTCGACATTGTTGGGATGCCAGTTCTCCATAAACTCATCTTTACACTTAATGTACTCCCAGTCAATATCCCATTGTGCATTTTTTGGTGGAAACTAACAAGCTGCTTCTTAAATTTTATGGAGGAGACTAGGACCTAAAATGGCCAATACATTTTTGAAAGAAAATAAAAGGATTAAAGAACTATTCTAATTTCAGAACTTGCTGTAAAGCGACAGTAATTGATGCAGTGTGGTGTTGGTGTAAGGAGAGACAAGTAGAATAGAAGAAAATAGAGCCCAGAAATAGGCTCACACACACAGTTAGCTGACTTTTGAAAAGGGCTCCAAAGAAATTCATTAGGAACATCTTTTCAATAAATGATGGTGCAAACTATATGAAAAAGAGAACCTCAACCTCCACCTCACACAATACACATGAATTGATTTGAGATGGCTCATAGAACCAACAATGAAAGCTAAAACCATGAGCCTTGTATAGAAATATATAGCAAAATAACTTTGTGACCTTGAGGTAGGCAAAGGTTTCTTAGGTATCTTTACAGAAAAACAAACAAACGACAAAAAAACTATTAAAATATTGATAAATTGAACTTCAAATAAAAAAACAAATAATATAAAAAGCTTCTGCACATCCTAAGATACTATGAATTAAATGATTAGGCAGGCCGCATGCTAGGAGAGGATATCCATAATACAGATATCTGATAAGGACTCCTGTGGCTTAACAATAAAAAGACAAATATCCAAATAAAAATTAGAACACTCGACAAAGAAACTTTGTAAGAACAGATATATGAAAGGTCAGTAAAAACGTGAAAGTGCTCAAACTTAATTAGACATCAGGTGAATAATTGGAAACGCAATAATACACTAATACACATGTTAGAAAGGCTAAAATTAAAAAGAGTGACAATACCAAATATTGGGGAGGACATGGAATGGCCAGAACTCTTGTACATTACTGGTGGGAGTACAGAATGGTACTTTCAAGAACTATTTGTCAGCTCTTTATAAAATTGAACATACACCTGCCCTACGACCCAGCAATTCTACATCTCAGGAGAAATGAAACATGTCCATTGAAGGATTTGTGCCAGAATGTTTGTAGCAACTATATTCATGGTGGCCAGAAATGAGTAGTAGCCCAAATGTCCATTAATAGGAGAATGGCCTTGTGAATTATGATGTAGTTACACAATGGACATGTGAACTATGATATAGTTATACAATGGAGTGCTGTTCAGCAATGGAAAAAACAAATTACTAATACATGCATGAACATGGATAAATCTCAAAAAAAAAAAAAAAACACTGAGTGAAAGAAGCCAGGCCCAAATGAATGCATACTATATGACTGCATGTTTATGAAATTCTAGAAGAGGCAAATCTAATCTAGTGATGAGAATCAAAATGGCAGAACATTCCCTGGGGGAAGAGGACTGACTAGGGAAAAGAACCAAGACTTTCCAAAGTGATAAAATCTATATATACGTATCTCATTGCCACCACAGCCAAAAAGGAATCAATTTCTTTGCATCAGTATTTTCGCAGTGCTTCCCTATCCCTGTACACCAGGTGATTTTGGTGGACTTAAGTAAGGGTTGAAAAAGAATCTCTCAACTAGAGATTTTTAGAATCTCTAAGTTTTGTCACCAAGCACGATTTGTCTTTAATTTTACCAATAGGAACTAAAATATGCCTAAGTGAAGTAGTTCCTTACATAAATTTAAAATGAAACAACAAATAATGCCACTATTTTATACTCGAAAGAATGTAAAAGATTGCTATTAGTACTAAAAAAAGCATTTCTGTCTCTGGATAAACTTGCAGGCTTGTTGGCTGGCTGAAGAATGCATAAGTACTATGCTTCTAATTTTTGCCTCGGCTGTCAAGAAGTTCAGAGCCAAATTCAGTGCTCAGTTTAGTGATTAATATCCCAGCTGCCTGATATATCAATTTTTCTTGATTAGGTAGGGTATACAAGGTGGGGTATTAAATTATCCTGTTTCATACTGTAAACTACCTCAAATCATTTGGGGGAAATGATGGTGTATAAATCATATAAAATGTTGGTCATTTTGACAAAATTAAATATTTTTTCACTGCAGATAATAAATGCATTGTATGCTTCTCCTTGTTGTCAAAAAAGGTTAGATTAGGGAGGATTTTTGCTGTTACTTGAATGAGTCATCTGCTAAAGGTGAGTCACTCTCCGCCCAAATGACTGAGTGATGTAAAAAATACATCATTTTAAAATACAACCACATTGACAGGGAAACACTTCACTTATATTTGATTATAAGGGTGAGACTTGAGGAACCAATGTAAAAGTATAGAATACATTGAGTCCCTAATGGATCATAGATGGCAAAAGAAATTTAAGTGCACTTCATTACATTCTTAGAATAAAGAAATCAGATCTGTACGCAAATGTGCTTACTGCTATTCTGTTTCTATGATAACTGGTGCTGGCCGCTTTAATTTTATCAGCTGGCTAGGATATTTTCTGTCCCTTCTCATTTAACAAAACCATACAACCTTGGCCCTCAGGAGAAAATAAGATGTTTTTATTCCCAAAGGGCATATTCTAATGTAACATTAAGTTAGAAAAAACACACACAAACAACCCTCTCACCTGAGCTGCTTCATTGTTCATCAATCCAATCAGTTTCTCCTCTTTCTGCACTTTCCATGTTGCACAGGACTCAGCGCTTCTCTCACTGTGGACTTTTTTTTCGATTAACCTATTGTGTGCCTTGTTGACTTGCTTTGTTGCAGCCTTTTGTGAATCAACCTGTTGGTATAGAGTAAGTAATAATATATAATGAAAACTTTTGGTATTTCTCTAAAAAATGCATATATGTCCAGATTCTTAAAAGCTCTAAACTTGCCAAGCTTTAAAAAAGGAAATAAAGAGGAAAGCAGCAAGTGGACATTACAGAAAAACTATAGTCGTTGGCAAGATCCAGACCCTTTCTCATCAATGGGACAAAACCAATTAAAATTAGTGTCACTGCATGCACACGTATGTTTCTTACGGCACTATTCACAATAGCAAAGACTTGGAACCAACCCAAATGTGCATCAATGATAGACTGGATTAAGAAAATGTGGCACATATACACCATGGAATACTATGCAGCCATTAAAAAGGATGAGTTCATGTCCTTTGTAGGGACATGGATGAAGCTGGAAACCATCATTCTGAGCAAACTATCGCAAGGACAGAAAACCAAACACCGCATGTTCTCACTCATACGTGGGAATTGAACAGAGAACACTTGGACACAGGGTAGGGAACATCACACACTGGGGCCTGTCATGGGGTGGGGGAAGGGAGGAGGGATAGCATTAGGAGAAATACCTAATGTAAATGATGAGTTAACGGGTGCAGCACACCAACATGGCACATATATACATATGTAATAAACCTGCAGGTTGTGCACATGTACCCTAGAACTTAAAGTATAATAAAAAATAAAATAAAAAATAAAATTAGTGTCACTGTACTCCTTAGAAATTATCTCTACAGATAACTTGCTTACTGAAAACAGCATTTTTAGAGAAAATTGTCACATTTTAAAGCTGCACATGAATTCATTATTAACCTTTGCTGGGAGTGTATCCAGTATATCTTTGTAGTTTAAATTCTTATTAATTAAAATCTTAGTTTTCTATCATTGAAGTGAGCCTAATTAATGTGAATATATAAAAGGAGCTTGTGATGTTGCTTACATTTTTGTGCAGGTAGTTTAACCTTTGAGCAAGATGAATAACAGTTCATGTCATCGAATACTGTGTACCAGTATCAGAGGTTAAGTTCTTCTACAACAAGCTTGCTGTCTCTAAGGTTTCTTTTTCACACCATGATGATATCTGGGGGATGCCTGACTGTCAATAACCTTGAAGTAGACTCAGAAACAGAAGGGCAGAACCCACAACACTGTTGGAAGATTGAAAGCTACAGCGAAGGTCCTTATATGAAGTATTTGTTCAGCAGCTTCATGTTTATAGCAGCTGAAAGTGCCATCACCTTTTTTTCATGAGTTAAACAGGGGGCAGAAGATAGGAACAGCACAAAGGGGAAATAGTGAAGTAGCCAGTGCCAAAATAGAGAATGAATTACATTGGCTGGGCAAGCAGAGCCTTAATTTGTAGTCTCTCAATTTTTAGCTTTTATCGCCAAGTGTGTTCACTCCTTCCCTTTAAAATATGCTGGTGTTTTGTGGCTAAGCCTAAATTGTCACAACACCACTCTATTCTACCCTCCTCCAGGATCCCAGCTCAAAACCACTGCCTTTCAGTAACCTGAAAGTTGGAAATGTTTCTTAATCATGCAGGAATTCTTTATTTTCACCACTCAACCTTCCCAAACTACTGGGAAAATTTATGTCACCATCTTCTGAGCCACTTTCTGCTGAAGTCATCTTGGTAATAAATGTACCTGATACCATTAGTGTGAAACAAAGGGTCTCCCATGGTTCTTGCGTACTGTTTTATCCTATTAAAACATTGGCTTACCAATTCTTGTGAAAATGTGTTCCATGTTATAAAGGGTGAGATTTGCCCTCCCAGCTTTATTGAGATATGTTTGACAATAAAAATATATAAGGTATACAATGTGATGTTTTGATACATGTATACATTGCAAAATGAATACAACAATCAAGTTATTAACACATCACCTCACGTTAGTCACCATTTCTTTGTGTGAGAATACTTAAGATCTACTCTCTTAGCAGATTTCAAGAATACAACACAGTATTACTAACTACAGTCACCATGCTGTACATCAGATCCCCAGAACTCATTCATCTTATAACTGAAAGTTTGTACCTTTTGACTAGCATCTCCCCATTTTCCCCAGGTCTCATCCCGACAAATACTGTTCTATGCTCTGCTTTCATAAGTTTATTATTTTTTTTAGATTCCACCTATAAATGAGATCATACAGTATTTGTCCCGTGTCTGGCTTATTTCACTTAGCATAATGTCCTCCAGATTCATCCATGATGTTGCAAATGTCAGGATTTCCTTTTTATGGCTGAATAATATTCCATTGTGTGTGTGTGTGTATATATGTATATATATATGTGTATATGTATATATGTATGTGTATATATGTGTGCATATATACATATATATGTATATACATATATACACAAACAGACACAATATATATGAATAAAATACACTTTGTGGATAAAGAAAATGTGTTCTATAACCACAAATAATATTGTGGTTACGGACCACACTTTATCCATTCACCCATTGACACACACTTAGGTTGTGCTGTATCTTGATTATTGTGAATAGTGTTGCAATGAACATGGGAGTGCAGATACCTCTTTGACATCTGGTTTTATTTCCCTTGGATACATACCCAGAAGCAAGGTTGCTGGCAGTTTTATTTTTAGCTAAGATATTGAAGTTTTTAGTGCTTCCTATATGCTAGGCATTTTAGGTTTAAGAGTTTTTGCCCTGGGAGCCTCTGACGTATAAGCAAAATTCAGTATAATATATTCACTCCTCTGTGAAAGTTCCTGGAAGAGATGATGCCTCCTGGATTTGCTTTTAGTTGGCTGAATGGTTAGGCTGCACTGCCGTGGGCACTTCTAGCTACTAAACAAAATGATAGCCAATTAATGGAAAATCTTATTTCTAAGGAAACTTTTATTGTAAGAGTGAAGTAGATGATAGTGAACACAGTGAAACTTTTTCTCAAAGATAGAAAAATACAGAAAACACCCTGGGCATCCCTTATAATAGAAGGATACTACACAAATGTGTGATATTTTCAAGAAAGTAGGTATGAAAATGAGGTAGTTTTTATTTAATTTTCCATTGGAACTTCACACTGTTCTATAAAATCAAGAATACCTTTGGACTCCTAAAAATTAATAAACCAAAAATGTGCTTCTAATTAAGAATCTGTATTTCACTATCCTCATATACAGAAAATAAAGAGAAGTTCATAGAATTATTTTGAGACTTAAAGCTTAGGAAAAAATTTTGTAAACCGTTAAATTCTATACAAATACTACTACTACCAATAATAATATATTCAACTCTGGATATGCTATGGGAGCCTCAGATTTAAGGTGAATGAAGGGACAACCTTTTAGCTCTGACCTGCAGCTACTTCTCTGCCTAGCTAAAGCATTTAGGAAGGATGGGAGGGCTCATTATGCCCAAGTGTCTACACTATTACAATATACTAACATATTATAGTATATTACTGTATATTGTATATATGATTCAAGCACCATAATAAGGTGGGAGTCATTGATAAACGATTAAAAGGATCCTCTGGTTCTTGAAAAATAGCTTATTCAAGGGTCGTAATGGGGCCTTTAGTAACGCTGTTTTCCATCTTGGCTTTAACATTCTTATCTGGGAATTCTAGAGCTTTAGCTCACCTCAATAAGCATTCTTATTGAAATATTGTTTCTTTCAGTGAATTTTGGAAATTAAATCCTAGTGGGTGGCATAAAGAGACTGTGATGGTCTTGATGAGACAGTCTTCTAATTTGATTGGCGGTGCTAACTCAGGAGCCCCCAGAACTACTAGCAAGTGACTTCAGTTTTACATCCCTCATTTTGATTCAGGCAAATACCCCAAAAGATTTGTTTTTCATGAAAAAAATATCAATATCACTACTCTCTTGACAAAAATTCATTTCCAATTTAACTCCAATAACAATATTTGAGGAATTCTCTGTCCAGGTTTACAGAGAACAGTTTATAATGTCTAGTAAAATCCAGTATTGGAAAAAAAAAAAAAACTTTTTCTTTTGCAAAAAGGTGATGTAAGTTTGGTGAGATTCTTAGGGTAATGTGCTACCTTCTAATACCTAATCAAAATATGTTTTTCTTAAAAATACTGTTACTTCCCTCTGTATAAGTTTCATTTGTTATTAGCAAAATAACATTTAAAAATGTAAACAGTTACAACTTTTTTCCCTTGAATACTGAATGATGGTAACATTTTATTTATTTATGTATACCTTTTCTGGTCCAATGTCTTCTTTTAAAATATCTTTGTCCAAAAAATGTATTAGTCCAGAATTCATTCACTACTCTGTTAAACAGCTCTATAACTAAATACTTAACTACATATAACTATAAACCCATTTATAAAGTAACAAGAAACGATTTTAGTTACTAATAAGAGCATTCTGTCTGTGACTAAAAAGAAATTTGGAGCCATGTGATTGATATGCATTTTGGAATGATTTTTGTTATGGAAGCAATCTATTGTGGAAATCATCCTATACGTGCATCATTCAGGGGAACTGGGAACAGGACGGTTTATACTGTCATACCTTGCATTTGAACATTTTCAGGTTTGGTTTTTGTAGCACTGCAAAATCTGTAAACTTTGAAAATTAAGATACTTAAAGTTTAGCCACATATGGTGAGCCCATATCTTATGCTATCATTATTAAATATATGTATGCACTTAAAATACTATAATAAATAAATAAATATTGATCTGCTGCAAAATATATCCCCAAATCATCTTACTGTCTATACATCCAGGCTGATCACATACATTTCTTAACAGAAATTAGCGTAGGTCTTAAAAGCATGTATTATTTTTAAGTGCTTTTTTTACTCATAATCAAAATAATCAAAAGGGATAAAATATTCTTGATGGAGGCTCATTGGAAAAAGTGTTTTATGTTCTATTCTCTACATATAAAAATGGTTTCACAACAAACACCCTTTAATTTGATGAAACTGAAAATTCTGGTGGATAATAATCAGAATTTTATATCAGAGGATATAGCTATCAGTTTTTAAAATGGCTTCTTTTATATTTCAATTAAGTTTATGAAACTGAAAAACTACAAAAAGGGAAAAATCTACTTAAATTAGCATAGATTAAGTGGTGACCATTATTGCAACGAAAATACTACGTCAAGGAAATGGCTCTTTGTTTTGTTGCAAAAGTGATAAAAACACAAAAGTCAATAAAACTGTTAAAACAAGTCTCAGTAATTACCAAGATCAAAATCCAGTGGCTTTTTATTAAACATGAACTCTTGTTCTGCCTTCTGCAATACGTAAATAGTGCTGACAATTGGTTTGTGAGGCACTTGCTACAATAAAATCTAATTGTATCATGAGAGAAAGGTGACAATCAGGAGATCATGAAAAAATTACATATTCTCACTGGTAGTTAATTAGCCATGCAAAACCTCCTCAAACAGATATTCTCTTCTATTAGGAATGATTACTATGCAGGCCTACAGATGTCAATACCACAGTCATTCAAATACTTCTTTTCCTACTAATTGAAGGTTGTAAAGCTCTGGTGCCAAGGTTTTGCTTCCAAAGAGCTAATTTATGACTAGAAGGATATTTTATGTCTTCAGTTGCAGCAACTACAAAATTCAGCAAATCAGAACCATCTGTGCACTGATACTTGACTCACCATTCATCTAGCAGCCTATCAGTCACATTAGTTTGCATCCCGCATTCTTGGCTCATGAACACGTGTGATGATCCAAAGTTCATAAGAAATATTAAAAATGAATAGCATCCTGACCCTATCTTACTGTACATGCATCAGGAAAAAAATGCCCTCCACACTCTATTTGTGCATACGGATAGTGGTCAAGGAAGACATGGATGCTGAGTTGCCTGTCCACTATTCTTGCTAATAACGGCAGTCTAAGATTTCCACCACCCGCTTAAAAATGCTCGAAATCTTAATTTTTTTTTTAAGTTGGTGTTGGTCTTTGGGAAGATGGCAGACTAAAAGAAGAGGTGTAACTTTTAAAAAATGATTTTTTTTAACCTAGATCTCTGGCATAAACTCTTTTATTTTCTGTAAAGAACTGTTTCCATGGATTGAAATATCAGCACATACAAATAACCTGGTTAAATCGAAGACTGTTATCACCAAATTATGGCCAAATTGGTAGGCAAAAACACAGGGCAATATCTAAAGAAAACCTGGAGAAAAGAAGCAAATGATGGCTTTCTCATGAGTAACATCAGATTAGCCTTTACCCTAGTCACATCTCTATGACAGTAGTGACTGCTTTCTTTCATAGTACATAGTAGGCCACAGATCCTATTTTTCTCTGTGAGACAACAGGTCAAAAGAACTTGGAACAAACTTTCTTGGTGCTGAGTTAGGCAAAATGGGAGTTAAATATAAGGAAGAAGAAAGCTGTCAGACTCATTTTGAGACCTAAAACAATTTCATTCGATAGAAAAGTATCATAGAAGGTAATCATAGGATAGCAGGGATTATGTTACTTACTTTTTGACTGTTTGGAGTATGGACATTTATACTCTGTCCTTTTGTGGAAAAGTCCAGTGGTCCTAAAGGTATTCCATGAGGGTTCAAAATTTTCTTGAGGGCTTGATAGTTTGGCTTTTCATCATATGCTAAACTATGAGCACATACCAAAAATTGGGCTATTTCACCTGTGAATTATTAAATTTTTTACATGTCATTCACAATTGGCAAGAATTGTCAAGACTCCAGTAATCTCAAAATCTTTGTTATCTTTGTCTTTTACACATTTACATCTCCTGAAGAAACTAAAAATGAACAATTCAATGAAAATAACTTTTTAAATGATATTCAAAAATGACTGAAATATAGTGACCTACAGAATTGATGAGACAAACTAGTAATGTTTTTAACATATTTTTGTTGATACGCTTATAATTCACTGATCTTATGAGAGGAAGTATATTGTAATAATTATAGTGATTTTGATTTATGAGGTGCAACTATTAAGGACTACATAAATAATACAACTGACCATACTTCACACTTTATGCTGAACTTCTAAAAATTCAGTTAAAGTGTTACTTATTATAAACCTCTTTATTTCTAAGGAAAAAAACTGCAAATTTTAATTAAGGCTTTGATTTTGGGATTATAACCGTATATTTAGAAAGGACCTTGAATTCCATGTTGTTAGCTAAGATTGAATTTAGAATGTATGAAACCTCCCTCATGTCCTCCATACCTAGCTAGCCTGGTACACAGCCTCGTGTTTTTGATTTTAGAGCAGTGGGAGGAGGAGTTGCCATCTTTTATTTTTTCTCTAGTGTAAAGAAATGTTCCCCTAGAACTACATAGTAAACCCCCTTTCCCCAAAAAGGTTAGGAACTACCAACTTTTAAATACAAACAGAATTAGTAACCAACAGTTACAAACATCACTGCATTAAAATATTTGTAGCTTGCATTTCTGTTTCATGTTGAGGTTCAACCTAAAATTGGAATAGAAGTGGTGATAATACCAAATACTATTTAAAAACTGGCATGTTTTCATTTGTTCACAGAGATGTTTAGATATGCCTTTCCCTTTCAAAAATATATTACTGACTCAAACTCAAGTACTTCTTACTTTCTCACTTAGTTGCTTATATCCATGGTGGGAAAACCTGGGAAACTTCATGCGTTGGCAGGAGTGACTTCCTAATCCTTCACTTCCCCTCTAGGCCTACCTCCACTCAAAAGAAAGGAAAACTGCAGAGGCACTGGGTTTCACTCCCTATAGAGAAAAATTTCAAAAGGAATAGTCATCATCGCTTTCCCCCTATTAAAGTTAAGAGTGACCACTTTCACCATATAGTACAGAGCTATTTCCTGGGAACATGAAGCTAACGTGGTTAAAATGTAAACTCTTGGTTCTGGGCTTTTCTTCCTTGACACTGTAGCAATTATGCAACCTGTTTTTTTCATCTATTTTTATCAAATTCTGTTATCTAGCATTCGGTCAACCAGATCTCTGTTAACTAGCAAGTGCTGCTATTTTATCACCATATTTATAACTGATGCTTCATGCAGCCCCTTCACAAGGGCTCGGGGGTATCCAATTTCTAAAGGGATGATTAAAAAATTAAATTACATTCACTACTATTTTAATATAAATATTTTTGTTTTATGGTCCTGTGAAGATTGGTAAGCCAAGTTTGGTACATATTACAATTCCATTAACCAGAATATCCAAAATGAGGAAGAGAGTTGAATGTGCTGGGAACAAATCACTGTTACAAGACAATGGAAAACTCCTGGCACTCCACCAACTGATAGCAGCTGTGCTGCAAAGCCTTCATGGGACTGGGGTTTGGAAAAATGAGGTACCAGTGAGGTAGGAGGGGGAGAAAATAAAAAGAGCCATTTCCATTATAAATTTATTATTACAAACCTGAAGCGTAGATATTGTGATGTAATACTGGTTTAAATGTTAGTCTTTCAAGATCTGGATTTATTAAGTACATTTTAAAATTTACTAGCATATTGCCAGAACTATAAAGCAAAATGCCTTTAGTATGAAATTATGATTTTTTTAATCATCTGCTTTTTAAGCCAGTGAAGTATTAAGTATCATTACTATCAAGAGATAGAAACTTTTGAAACTATTATTATTATGCTTAGTTGGACATGTATGCTGCAAACTTCTGGCTGTTTTATTTCATAAAATGTTTCGGTAATAAACTTTTGTAAATCAGTTCCTTCATTTTCATGGTTGTGTTCTTCCTAAGCACAACCTCCTAATTTAAGAGACCTTCATGTAATATTAAAGTTTCAACACTTTTTGCTTTAGAAACAGAAATCTGCATTTTATAAATAATAGTATGGATTCAATAAAATGGTTTGTGCTAAGAAACAAAAACTGGGCTTGTCTCCCATCTAGATTACTCATCTGACTCAAATCTTTAACAATAGAGTATGACATAATATACACTGCCCACAAGCATTTGTCTTGTACAATTCAGGGCATCTGGGCTTTCTTACCCTAAACTGAACAGTTCCTTTTTCTGCAGGATTGACAAGAAAGGTAAGAGATATATATACAAACACATATATATCATATATATCATATATATGATATATATGTATCATATGATATATATGTATCATATATGAGATATATATGTATCATATATGATATATATGATATATGATATATATAAACACATGATATATATGATATATGATATATACACATATATGATATATGTTATATATATGATATATACACATATATATGTTATATATGATATATGATATATACACATATATATTATATATGATATATATACACATATGAGATATATATAATATATATGATATATACACATATATATGATATATAATATATGATATATATACACATATATGATATATAATATATATGATATATACACATATATGATATATATATGATATATATACACATATATATGATATAATATATGATATATATACACATATATATGATATAATATATATGATATATATACACACATATATGATATATATACACATATATATGATATATATACACATATATATGATATATATATATGTTAATGACATCTTCCCATCTTTCTGTCCAGTTGATTAAAAGATGAACTATACAACTTGGTAAAAGTGCCAATAAGGGCCAGGCGCAGTGGCCCACACCTGTAATCCCAGCACTTTGGGAGGGCAAGGTGGGGGGGATCACGAGGTCAGGAGTTTGAGACCAGGCCTGGCCAATATGGTGAAACCCTGTCTCTACTAAAAATACAAAAAGTAGCTGGGCATCGTGGCACGTGTCTGTAGTCACAGCTACTTGGGAAGCTGAGGCAGAAGAATCGCTTGAACCTAGGAAGGGGAGGTTGCACTGAGCCGAGATCGTGCCACTGCACTCCAGCCTGGGTGACAGAGCGAGACTCTGTCTCAAAAAAAAAAAAAATGCCATTAAGAATATTAGCCATAAAGGAGTACTGCCATTTTGACCAAGTTATTGACAATTATGAAAACAAAAATTTCATCTTGCAACCCATTCCCACAATGAGGATCTCTCCTGTGTGGCTCCCTCAATCCGATGAAAAGTACTAGAGAAAGGGGAAAACAAAAGACTCATGTGGGGATAGGCTTATTGGACTTGCAAATGGAGAGGGGAAGTAGAACTGGCTTATTCTTTCCTTTCCTCCACAAATGAAAATTTTGGTTTCCAGTGAAAGAAAGGCTGTGAATGTAAGTTTAAGATGACTTAACTCTCTAATTCTCAACCAGATGGAAACAGATGCTATTAGACCTTAGCTAGAGAGGTCAGTGTACATATCTACTTTCAGAAGTCAGCTCAAAGCTAACTTTGAGATTGTCCAGTGTAAACAGAAAACAAGATTCACTCTGATTATCTGTCTCTGAAAAAAAGCAAGACTGATAGTGGGCACTGGCTTTTTCGTATAAGACAGTCTAACTCAATTGTTAAATTAGTGTTGAATAACATGTTGTGTATGCACATAAAATGACAGGAATGTGGGTAATTACTAGTTGACGTGCTATTTTATACAATATGTATTGATAACATTGTCAATTAAAAATTCCATTGTATACTAACTTGAAAATATGAAATATACCTCCAAATCCCAAAATCATATGCCTTTGCTAATAAAAATTTTTTTTTGCTGGCAGTTCAGTCAGCATAATTCTGGTCTAAACAGCATTCAGTGTTTACTGATTTGGTTTTTTAAATGACTGATGAAAAGTAGTTTTTCCTTAGGTCAACTTTATCTTCTTTCAACAATATATAGAGGAACAAAACCAGGAAGTCTTAACTCTAGAAATACCAGATACGGTTGACTATTAAGCCTGTGCATGATTCTCAAAATAGAGATCTTAAAAAAAAAAAAAAAAGCACTAAGCAGAACCTAGAATTTTCCACCTCAATATCTTCTTTTGAGGTTTTTTGTGTTCTAATGTTAAAGATGATTTAAACATTGTGTTCTTTAGCAACTTATTTGCAACATGAAGAGTTCCCTCCTTCCCACCCTGATGGGAATAGGAGCAAGTGGGTTAAGCAAAAGCTACCAAACGATAACGACAAATGTGGCAACCTGTAAATCGTAAGAGAAGGTTGAAGTTATTATTTGACTTACAGCAACTGCTTCCAGAAGGAGCCCATTTAAGCACTGACTGGGGGAGCTCGTCCAACAGACTAAAACAAAATAAGGTAATGCACAATGAACATGTTTTCAACCCTGTGATTATTTTGACTAGAAAACAAAACACTCTATGTGTTGGTAGGTCACCAAAATTGTGACTTTCAATGCTTTTTTTTTTGTCACCCAACTATAATGGATAGGAAAGTAAGCAGAAGTAGAGGAGAACCCTCAATGCCCACAAACTAATTTTATATCAATAACCTAGACTAACGTAGGGGCAGAAAGGTGTGATCTCTTTTCTCACCCACCATAAGGGTTGCAGCCAACATTCCTATAACAAAAGACCAGTTAACAGGAGAAAGTATAACAAATTTATTTAATTAAAGTTTTATATGACACGACTTGAGAAATGAAGACCAAAGACCCAAGGAAGTCTATCTTTATGCTTAGGTTTGATGAAGAATAGACAGCTGTGTAGGAATGTGACTGGACAAAAGGGTATGTTCTAATGGTACTGAACTGGGGCGGGGGGATCCAGCAAAGCCTGTCCATATTCTTTTTTTTTTTTTTTTTTTTGAGACGGAGTCTCGCTCTGTCGCCCAGGCCGGACTGCGGACTGCAGTGGCGCAATCTCGGCTCACTGCAAGCTCCGCTTCCCGGGTTCACGCCATTCTCCTGCCTCAGCCTCCCGAGTAGCTGGGACTACAGGCGCCCGCCACCGCGCCCGGCTAATTTTTTGTATTTTTAGTAGAGACGGGGTTTCACCTTGTTAGCCAGGATGGTCTCGATCTCCTGACCTCATGATCCACCCGCCTCGGCCTCCCAAAGTGCTGGGATTACAGGCGTGAGCCACCGCGCCCGGCCCCATATTCTTGATGTATGTAGCATTTATTCCTCCTGGGGATGGGGCAGGACCCCTTTGGAATGAGGGTCTTAAAGGGAGAAGGGAGAGGGTGACCTTCCTAAGTTTAATGCCTTGCTTGGGGTACAGGGGTTCTAGTTTCTATAACCCGCTTTGGGGAAGAGGAATTCTGGTTTCTATGACTCTCTTCTTGGGAGGAGAAGGGATGGGAAACAAGAGGGCAGGAGAAGGTCAGAGTGAGACTTGGCTTCTGAGGTGGCTTCTGGGGCCATCCAGTCTCTTTCAGTTCAAAGGTCTCAGCATGCCAAAGCATCACACTTTGGGGTATTGCTCTCTGGGCCCCAATACTAAACAAGATGGAATTACAGGAATTATAATATAAATGCTTTAACTCAAAGTTTATGTATGCAGAAACACAGAAGTAGTAATATTTACCATGATTTTTTTTCTCAAAAACAACAATAAAAAATTCACGCAAACATTGTATCTAAGTATATATGTGCATTGTTCTCCACTGGGCAATATTTTATGCTGTCCCATGATTAAACAGGTTTGTGGGATGCTCAACTGGTAAGTATAATGCAAATATTCCAAAATCTAAAAATATCTGAAATCTGCAACACTTCTGGTCCCAAGCCTTTCAAGTAAGGAATACACAACCTATAAAAACATTCAACTAAAATTATTTATATGTGTGAGTGAGTCACCACCTCTGGCATAGGCAGAGTAGCAACAATACACACATTGATCCAGCAGCATGCTATGTCAGGAAAATAAAAGGCATAAGGGAGATACAGTGTCTTGGCTGAATATACAATCACACCCTTATGGGGAATTTCAGTGTCATACCTTCTCAGCAAGTTGAATAAATTATGATTATGTATTATGTACTATAATAAGTTTGAAAATGTCTATGGTTTATCTGAATTATAAACTTCATAATATGATATTGGCTTTACTAGTCTATAGGTTTACATTATTAATCAAGTCAAAATGAAGATATTAACATATGTAAGAGTCCCCAAAATGTAAATAGAAGTTATGCTTGATTTATTAGCATTATACATGTAAAATAATAATTTTATATGACATCCTATTATAAATATGCATAAGCAGGTATATTCATTATAGATACCTATAATGAATGTATCTGTATATGCATATTGATAAAAAGTTAAAGCAAGTCATATTAGTCTTATCAAAAAACAAATATATAATCATTAGAATTAAAATGTTAGTTTTTTAAAATAGCATCATTACTTTATTACAGTATTCTAATTAGGTAAACTAGTTGGAAAATTAAATACAAAAACTGTTTATACATCACTGTGTTTTGACTTGACCCATATTTCGAAATGTTACATGAAAGTTAATATGGACACATCAATCACTGCAGTAAATAACTGATTTAGTTCTAATATAGATTTATATAAATGTTTTAGTTTTGGGTAAGGGACTAGGATGATCAAAATTCTGAGTGGAGAAATGTTTCATATATGTCAGTATTTACAAATGTAATATGTATTTTTCTGAATCTGCAGGCTAATCTTTCTCAGTATTAAGAACTGATGCCACACTGAATTTAAAGATAGATTTCTATGAATCAGCTAATTTTCCCCTGGCTTTGTACTCTTCTGTTGTGATTTTCCTACTTAAAACTTAGCTTAGCTGCTGCTTTTGCTACCTGTGGATAACTACTGTTGAGCATATCTTGGTATATAATGAAAAACTGGCTATTCTGTGCTCTATGCAATTGACTTTTTCTTAGGCCTGATCAGTGAGAGAATTGTAAAACAGTAACACACCCTGTTCTTAGTCTGACCTAATTTTTATGCTAGCCGAATCCAGGTAATAAAAACTGAATGTAGAATATTAAAAATGTTTATGTGGCTACAAGATTATCTCATATAAATAGCTCATGTAAAAATTTTGTTTCTTAAGAAAGAAAACATACTTCCTCCAAGACAGAAATAAGAGGTATGTTGCTCTCACTTGAAAAATATAAGCCCTATTTGTCCCATTTCATAGTGCTGTTTTACACAGTTAATATCAATCGTACCAAGCTCAGACTACTTCAACATACTTGTACAATGCTAATTTGAAAATATTCTTCCTTGAAAACACTACCACCTAGAATCTAAGCTTTGGAAATACCATGTAAAAGAACAGATATTTCACTTTATATTTTGCACTGTAATTCAAATACATGTCTTTTTACAATGTTACCTTAATGGATTTTATGTGTTAGTTGTTTGGTTTTTTTAAAACATATTTTTCAAACTAAAGAAATTTGCTTTGGTTGTCATGTTGGGTGAATGCCAATCTTCTCTGTGTTGTTAGCTCCCTTTAATGTATCCCTTCAGACCTGGTGCAGTACATGATGAAATACTTGAAAATTTGTACTTTGTTTTAGCAGTCTGCACAGCCACAGGGTCCTTCAGGTTCTGTTCCCAGGGAAGTTTCCCACACAACCACCGCAGCATGCAGTAGCCGAGGATCTCAACGTCACTTCGTCTGGACAAGGCTATAGGAGTAAGCATTAGAGAGAAAGATAAGGGATAAGCAAGTCCTTGAGAAATGGAGAAATCTTTGGTTGAACTACTACTGATGAAATATGAAAAAGCCAAATAGGCAAAATGTTTTATTTGTTCAGCTGGAATAAAACTTAAACGCCCAAGCATTTGGCCCCAGTCCACAGACAGGCAGTGACTGGTTGCTGTTGAAAGTAAGGGTCAGTTTCCTCACCTCCTCCAACTTCATCTTTCCTTAGTCTGGCCTGTCACATGAACTTGATCCCCATGGCCTCTGACATGATCCAGACAACCCATAACCCAGCACCAACACTTTCTCAAAGAGCCAAGCAGTAAAACAAAGAAATAAATGTCTGCAGCTAAATTACTAACATATGTTCCAGGAAGTCCATAGGGTCTGCATTGGTCATGCAGAGACCCTCTGAGTGCAGACTAAACATTGATGGCCTTTCCTGTTCCACTCACACTAGCAGCATTTGAAGTTGGAAGAATATGACAAAACTGCCATCTAGTGTGCAGTATTAAAAAAAGGGTCTTTCTGAAGATTTTTCAATCACATGAAAATACAATAAAAATATATCTACTGCTTTGGATAATTTTACAAATATTATTTTTAGATATAAGCAGCAGCAGGCTAAAATTCTGGTCCCATATCTATATAAAACGGAGGCAATGGTATCAGAGGCTGGGGGGAGAGCCAAATAGAGGCCTTCAAAATTTAGAATAAGATGCCTTTTCCTAAAAAGTACGTTAAAAGCACATTTTCAGGCCCTTGTATCATTTTATATCAACCTATTAAATGCTGTAGTCTAATTTCATAATTTATATATATTTATAAGTACCTTATATAAGAAGATGGACAATGAAACCTAGGAAATGTATGAAATATAACTGATACATATTAACAAACCACTGAAATAATTATTAAAACATCAGCAAATACCCGTAAAATAAACTCATTTTTGTAGTCATTCAAAATTGTTATAAAACAATAGGCTGGTATTTACATTTCTGTCATTACTCGAATGTTCATCTGTGTAGGGATATATAATCTCCTAAGAGCAGTAAGTGGCTGTTAAACCTGCTATAAACAGGTATCCTATTTTATTATCTTTCATGAAATAAACTCTGAAAAGTTACTCAGTGAACTTAGTTTTTAATTTAAAAAGTCATCTACTAAGAACAATGATGCCAACACATCGTAACTACTTTTGGTTACCATGTATAAGTTATTATAAAAGCAGAAGACATGATTAGCTCTTACACTCTAACTGCTATTAGCGTATTGGATTATTAAAGGCCCTTCAATCTAGCAGAATGCTACAGTCCCATGGGTGCCATTTACTTTCTGCACAAGCTTCAACAATGTCCTAATGCAAGACTTGGCTCTCATATTAAAATAAAAACACAATCTCTACCACAGTGTTCTGTAGTGATTTCTTCAGTAATAAATCTCCCATTAATAATGGAATGGTTCCACTTGTACAGATGTGTTCACAAGTCTCCTTTCTATTATGGCAATTCCTGATTACCATCACTTAAAAAATCTCATATCCTCTAATTTTCAAAAAATGATATTCTGGCACAGTGTTTGGATGATATAAGCTACACACAAGAGGCCCTTTGAGGAAAAATAATCAGAATTAAAATAGATTGAACCTTCCTAGCCATTTCCCCCTACCCCCCAATTGAGGGATTAATTGATATGAAGCTGTAAGTAATGACAAGTCATTTAGATTTCTGAAGCCAATCTTTCATAAACTGGTCTTCATTTGAAATAGCCCTTTGAGAGTTAACTTTACTTCACTATTATAGTTTGGTCTTACCTAATTAAAATACATTATCACATTTTTCAATCTTTTATTTTCTTTTTTGCACATCGGTATTAATAACTACCGTTAGGTGAATGTTTTGCCACTGTTTCTGATAAGTCCTGCATAAATGCATGCAGTGATAAAAAGAACACCCAATAGTCACCCTTTCCTTTCCCCACACTGAAGAGTGACTAAAAATGTTTCTGACTACATACCTCTACCTGAAATTCCCTCTCAGAAAAGCAAATTGAAAAGTTTGAATGTTTAGTGAAGTTAAAATCTTAGACTTTGCCAATGATTGTCTTCTTTCCATCTACTGTACACAGAGGAGTAATTTTAATACCTGTTAAATTAATTAAAAACAAATGTTCTAGATGACAATATTAAAATCTATGTATGCATGTATAGTTTACACAAAGAATTGATTATAGTCTGAGACTATTAATGTCTAACTATAAAAATTTTTTTTTAATTTGAAAGTTGCTTCTTTAATTATACAATTTTCAAATTCATTTTAAAACATATTAAGTGAAGCAGTAAATAGAGCTCTGGACTAGGAATGAGATCCAATTCTATCCCTGCCACTAATATTTTACATTTTCAGCTCTAAAATCAGATGATACTGTGCAATGTATTTCTTTTTAATATATTTTCATTCATTTGAATAGAAAATACATTATGCACTGTTTTGTTTCTGAGTCATGTATTTGCACAATTTATTGTAATACATAGGGTTCTTCAGTGGCATTTGGTAATTAATGTAATTATGGACAGTATATTTTCATGCAGATGTCCTAAAATGAAGTGTTTACTTATTATTGCTTGGAACTGTAATGAGATTTAGTTTAGATTTCTAAACTTTCTCAAGTTAGTTTCTAAATATTATTAATAGCATCTAACTTATATTGAGCTTACCAATATGCAGTAATATACATCACTCTTTTTGTTGAAAGCCTGTGGTATTCTCAAATGTTCTACATTTCTAAATTATAAAGTATTGCCAAAGTAAAAACAATTAGAAAGAAATAGGCACAGGTGAGGATTTAAATTCTATTTAACTAGAAAGAAAATTTTAGAAATGGCTGATAGTAGAACGCATAATTAAAATAAAAACAATTGATGTGATTTATGGAGAGCCGCTACTATGCCTGGCACTCTACCTGCTTTTTATTATTTCATCTCATCTTTCAAACAATTTAAAGTAAGTATTAGCCCTATTGACAAGTAACAATATGGAGTCTCAGAGAGGTTAAATAATTTGGTCAATATCACAGAGCAAAAATTAATAGAGCTCAGCACTGAAATCCAAGTCTTTCAAAAACCAAAGCCCGTGCTCAATCTTGCAATTACTTTGTTGCCAGGCGCGGTGGCTCATACCTGTAATCCCAGTACTTTGGGAGGCTGAGGTGGGCAGATCACCTGAGGTCAAGAGTTTAAGACCAGCCCGGCCAACATGGCGAAACCCCATCTCTACTAAAAATACAAAAATTAGCGGGGCTTTGTGGCACACACCTGTAATCCCAGCTACTCAGGAGGCAGAGGCAGGAGAATTGCTTGAACCCAGGAAGTGGAGGTTGTGGTGAGCCGAGATAGCACCACTGTCCTCCAGCCTGGACAACAGAGCGAGACTCCATCTCAGAAAAAAAAATAATAATTACTTTGCCTCCATCATTAGTTTTAATACCATTCAAACAACATTACACACAGGACTTCCATAGTGAGGAAGGTATTTGAAGCAGGCATTTAAACTTAAAGCACCAAGACATACTGACACAAAAATAGTTGTTTTGGCAAGGAATAAATGAGTGGAAGATCTGGATATCTAAGCTGCAGCACTGACCAAATTTTTCATGTTACTATCCTTTCATGAAACTATTTCTTTCAAGTTATTTCATTCCAATAAAGAAGGATCTTTAGTTAAAATATTTAATTATAAAGTGACAAACGGTCCTTCTAAACTGGTATAAGAACAACAGATAAGTTATCTTAGCGAACTAGTCCTTGGTTTAAAGACAAACTGGAATAAAATTAACTAGCCCAATTCACCAAATGGACTGAAAGAGGAATTGGGAGAAAAAGAAAAGTCTAAGTATTAATTCCAAGATTTATCTCCCTGTTTGCCTAAAGTGTTTTCTGTTTATTTCTTATACCGAGTAACATTATGGAGTATGAAGAAAAACAGGGTTCGGTAGGAAATAATGAAGTGAACTTGAAAATTTCTGCATCAAGCAGAGTTCAAATGCCCAAAATATTAATATGTGTGCTCAGAAAGACAATAAGAAAGCAGAAAACATCTGAATAAGATGTTCACCTGACAAAGTGAATGGTGACTATCTGCAGAACAAATTTAAAGTCTATTCTTAGTTTTCCAACTGGTAACCTATGTAATTCAGTATTTTGTCAATTCTGATGTATAAAGATCCAGAATATTTTATGGTGACCATGACTTACTGCAATTTCAAAAAGGATATCAGGAAATATTAGGATGCAATGTGTCATATTTCAGATAAAATATTAAACCCAGGCCTCTCTTATTTTTTCAGTACCTTTTAAATTAAGCCCTAGTTTTGTGTGTGTGAAACTTAGGAAAAGTCATTCAATAGAGCAAATGTATCTTAGACTTGGCCAATGTAAGTATTCTTAACCCAATCAAAAGGCCAAGACATAAGTATTGCGTAAACCATGTCATTTCCCCAAGTTTGGTAGCACGAAAATACATTCTCAGTTTATTTCACATATATTTTGTAAGTTGGAGTGCTAGATTAGAGTGAAATGAAACCATGAAAGAAATAACACAAGACTTGGATTTCACATACCGTAGCAATTGGCAAAAATTAAAAAAAAGTATGCAATATATTTATTTCTTTGATACTAAACATATTAGATAAATGGACATTTAAAATACAATTTAGATATCATATTTTATGGTCATCAAAGATGTCAAATTAAGATAGGTATTACAGACTCAATGCACAGGTCTGAAGTATTTAAAAAAGCTCAATATGTTAAATGCAGTATATCTCTAGAGAAATTAGGTATTGACTGCATGCCTCAGTGAGTAGAAAAATCTACAAAAATCTATACCACACATTGATTCAAATATTGCTTTTTAACATTACTAAGAATGTAACCAATTTTAAAATACTATATTTGACACAAATATAATTCTCTTTAATTATCAGACAATAAGCCCAAAATATGTCAGTGTTTATACATGTTAGTTTTTATAAAGAATAAAAAAATTATAGAAGAAATAAGCCCAACATATATTACTCTAATTTTATACTAAATGATGCACTTTAGCCACTTACAAAATACCTGTAGGTCACACAAGAGAATTGAGTTTGGAAGAATAAACACAATTTTTAAAAAAACATACAGATATGCAGATGTACAGGAGTTCTAGGAATAGTTATCCATCCATTCATCCATCTGTCCATCCATCACGATACATCTCCATGCATATCTTTTGGTAATAACATAATAGCTAATTTTTTTCCCTTTCAACTACTCTCCTTTTATGTAAATTTGAATTAGAAAATGCTTAGATGTAATGACTGAATGGCAGCTTATACAAGTTCCTTCATTATAAAAACTCAATCCATAGAAAAATGAGATTTAGCTTGAGTTTTTAAATAACCTGCTACAAAAAGTAGCACAGAACAGACAGTCTGATCAGGCTAATAGCAGTCTCTATTGAGTGGCTAACTCATAAGTCAGTTTTACATTGAAGCTTGAGTATTTCTCTTCAGGTCTCTTGGCCTGACCAAGAAATAGACCTGACACTTGGCAAATGCTCTGGCACCTAGAAGTTCTATATCCTAGTGACTTTTTTTTTTTTGCTTTTTGTACTTTATTTTGCACTATTTTTCCTCAGTATTTGATCTCATAGTTGGACTGAAAAAAAGATTTTTCTGAGATTACATAGTGGCTGTACTGAAAGTAAACACATGAATATTTATGAATCTGACCTGCATTTTCCTATAGGCTTTATGGCATTGTTTATTCTGGTTTCTAGATATGGCTAAATGATTATTTATTTTCTAATAAAATCCTCAACTGAAATGTTTTGCTTTGGAAAATTAAATGTAAAACATAGGAGTGAACAGTATTCAGACATTTGAGGATGTCATACATTCCATTTTATATCCCAGACTAAAACTTCACATTAAAATGTCAGCAAATATATATGTGGGTGTATATATCTATATATGTGTGTATATATGTGTACATATGTGCATATATATGTAATGTGTATATCTATATTTATATCTGTATCTACATATATATATATCAATATGCCTAGAATTTTAGTGTAAATCCTATTTAAAATGCATTAAGGAAATCTACTATTTTATAAGAATCTGGTAAAACCTTTGATAAAAATGAATGTTCATTCTATCATATAACTTTTCAGCAAATCCCAAAAATATTTAATGTAGGTTCTTCCCTGAATATACCTCCCCCAGGGATGTAACACCATCTTTCTGTGATCATTCTGTGATCATTCTCAGTTCAGTCTTCTCCCCAAAGACCGAGGGTGGTGAAATCTTACCAACATATTCAACATGTATTAAGATTTTAGAATAAAAAATATAAGTAGACTAAAAAATAAAAATGTGTTCAAATCTTTCAAGAAGACAACACAATGAAAACGACACCCTAAACAATGAAATTAATTGAATAGGTCTTTCAGATTTACCACAGTCCAAACACTGACCATACCAACACAAAAAAACTCTACTTCTCTTTCCACAATCACAGTGATTTCTTAGCAATTCCACTACTCAAAACTAGATCAGAGCAGTTTAGAGCTACCAGTTGAAATAAATGACTCAAACATAAGTTGGTATCATTATTAATATAACTGGGCCAATGCTTAAGAACCTGTATGATGAATTTCCAGTTATACCATTATCAAAAAAGTACTTACTGTTTCTAAAAATTCTATTAGGTGTAACAGAATAAAATATTTAATTCTTACATTTCTTGAGCATTTAATTCTCATTTCTTAATGTAAGATACGTCCCATATTATCTTTAAATTCTCACTAATTTATTAACAATATGAATACTGAAAAATCACACAACACTACAAAATTTCTTACTGATTATTACTTTTCTAACCAAACTATACTTGAAAAAAAATGTAGTCATTTCTTTTACTTTGATCAGGAATATAAAAGATAATTTCCGTTTCAGAAAATCAAGCCTATGAATCTTTCTGAAAGGAAGAAGTTATACTTGTTTTACTTTTGCATTGGCCTACCTTAAGCTAGTATGGGTTTTAATGCCCTGCAAAATGATCAAGACCCTCTACATTACATGGTCAATGGTCCTTTTAATAGAAAAGGCAATAATATACAGTTGTCTTCACCAACTAAAACTTGTTAGAAGGCATCAGTTTAGGGTAACAGTTCAACAACCATTAAGAAGTGCAAATATCTAATTGTCTTTTAGTAAAAATGTGGTCCTTTCAAAACTGTTTAAAAATTGTTTGGTTTAGCATATTTGAAAATACTTTTATAAACAAAGTTTACAAAGAATATAATTTTGAAAGCCAAAGTTTTTCAATAATCACCATTTTTTCACTAGCATAACATTAGAATTGACTTTTTGTGTTGCTGACAGAGCAACTAAGAAAGTACAGTTGCATTGACCATATTGATTGTGAACAAAGCAACCATCAGTGGGACTCGGCACCATATATTTTCAATATTGACCTCCTACTTCCTTTTCCATGGCTTTCTGGGTCGGCTATTGGATTTGGACTGCAGTGTAATAAACAGCTAAGGTTTAATTAATGGTAAATGAATACAAGACATAGGTTATGACTTTAACTAATTAGGGAATTGTTGAATTAAGTCTGCCTTGGAATGCAAGGCAGTACAATCAATATCCAATAAAAGGACTATGTATGTAATTTACCTGCAAATGTGTTTCCAATACCATCAAAGTGAGTTTAAATAAGTAAGATATATGAAAGGCGACTGGGAGAGATTTCCACAAATTAACACTTTATGGTTTCAGAAAAAATAACCTTACTGCTGAGAGATGTATCTTCTAAAGCTTTGGTAAAGGTACAATGGAAAAACAGGAATAATTGTTCGTATGTGCAACTTTTTTTTTTTTTTCTGAGGGGTCTTGCTCTGTCGCCCAGGTTGGGGAGCAGTGGTGTGATTATGGCTCACTGCAGCCTCAACCTCCTTGGCTCAAGTGATCCTCCTCCCACCTCAGCCTCACAAGCAGCTGGGACTACAGGCAAGTGCCAACCCTTTTGTATTTTTTTGTAGAGATGGGGTTTCACCATGTTGCCCAAACTGGTCTTGAACTCCTAGACTCAAGCGATCCTCCTGCCTCAGCCTCCCAAAGTGCTGGGATTATAGGTGTGAGCCACTGCACCTGGCCCACATGCAACTTTACCAAATCTGTAATATTCACTTCAGTATAAACATTCACTGCTGACCTCCAAGTTTTACCTATACAAACTGTGGCTTTCTGGCTAAAATGAGCAGCAAGTTTTGCTTACTTGACACACTTTTGCTCCTTCACCACTTGTCACAGTCTAAATTTCTTTCCACTGTTAGAAGAAATATTCATTGGCATAACAGGAATTCATTACTTTTGATAAAAACCTCACCAGTGCTCTTATGCTTCAAACTGACTATGCAAAGGTCATTTCATGCAGCCTCATTACCCTTGTCTCTAATCATTCTTCTGAAATAAAAATAAGAAAAAGAAAAAAGAAACCCACCTACTCCCTTGTGGGCATCCAAGCTGGTAAACTCTATTGTCCCATTATGGCCTTTTCTAGGATTTTCCTGATACTGTTTGTGGTTCCCATTGGGACAATATCTGTAGGAAAGTCCATAATCTGCAAGATAAACCTGGAAGACAAGCACAGACAAATGAATAATGCCTTTGTCCTCTGAAAACATAACCTTTATAATTAAGTCTTAAGAAACTGATAGGTTAAGAACAGCCTCAGATCTACATTTTATTAAACCAAATGGTGCCTTAGGATAAAATATGTACAACTGGGGGCCATAACAACTAACTTTCCAACTTAAATCCTTTCTTCATCATTGGCATATCTTATTTCTGAGTTGACTTAGATTTTTAATCTTTTTATTTTGCTCCTAAATTCCCTTCCCTCCAGGTGGGCATCTAGACATCATAAACCACAATATGTCTTTTTATCTGTATTCACACAGTTGAGGAGGCTCTGCTTTTTCCTGTAACCCCTCCCTGAAACATAAAACTATTTCAAGCAGGAAGGGGAGATAAGAGCAAACATTCTAAAAAGATAAAGTTGATTCTTGAACAACATGGGTTTGAACTGCACAGGTCCACTTATATGTGGATTTTGTGCTGCTTCTGCCATACCTGAGATGGCAAGACCAACCCCTCCTTCCTCAGCGTACTCAACGTGAAGACGATGAAGACCTTCATGATGATCCACTTCCACTTAATAAACAGTAAATATATTTTCTCTTCCTTATGATTTTCTTAACATTTTCTTTTCTTTAGCTTACTTTATTGTAAGAATACGGTATGTATAATACATGTAACTATAGAATATGTATTACTCGATTGTTTATGTTATCAGGAAGGCTTCTGGTAAACAGTAGACTATTAGTAACGTTTTTGGAGTCAAAAATTAAAATTATGCAAATTTTTGACTGTGCAGGGGAGTGGGGGTCAGCACCCCTAACCCTGGCATTGTCATAGGTCAACTGTAAACCTAATGTTATGAGTCTCCTTTAACAGGAAACATAATGATAGTGAAGAGACTGTAAGAGGTAATGACTCAACCAAAACACAAGAAACACCACTATTTTATCTGTATTTATGAATGGAACATCAATGCAGAACTTTTGACCTTTCATATGAATCCATATTATCACTGTTACCTTTCTAAGTCAGTTAGAATTGCAAGCAGGGTCTCCAAACAGAATACAGATTGTTAAAAGTCAGATAGCAATTCAAGTGAATTTACCTCAGATTACTTTTGGAGAGAAAAGGAAGGGGGAGAAGTAGTTTTACAGACAGACCATATACTGAATGGAGAAGTGTTTTGACTAGACATTTACTGTGACATGTAGTCAGAAAATAGTAGTTCCCAACTGTGGTTACCATTCCCCCTCCCCAGAAAAAGAAAGCAGTTTCAACTTGGAAAATGTATCATTTCATACACATTTCTTTAAAATTAAGGGATTTAGGCAGTATTTCATAATGCAGCTTCAAGACAATAGAGTATTTACCATACAATCTGCACTTTAAAATGTATCTATTAAGAGGAAATTCTGCATTTGAATTTTAGTTTAAGTTTTTGGTTTTAGGATAGGCTCAGTAAGAGATATTTTAAACTTTAAAATATAAACAGCACAGAGTTTTCTTCATTTGTTGGAGTAACTTGCAAGGCTGTCTGAAAACAAATATTTCAGTTTGTCTCTCTTTCCCACAGATGCTGTTTCTTAACATGGCCTCAGAAGTAATTGATCTCTCTGCCCTAACTTAACTAGACATATCAGGATCAGATATGGAACAGGTTGCTTGCTTTCACTGTGTCTGATGCATTTTTGTCTTTATTTCAAGAACTAAACAGGCTTCACATTACAAAGCAGATATCAGAAAAATGAACATACTGATAATTACACAAATGGAATTGTATTTTAATATAATAGTTTACTATTTTAAAAAAGAGCTATCAAGAAGCTGTTTTATGTACTCACTAGCACAAAGAAATAAGACTTAAATTTTATGAGGTGCCTACTATGCACCAAGCAGTATGCTAAGTGCCTTACATCCGCTGATGCTGTAAGTCCCCTTATCTCCATTTTATTCATCTGGAAACTGAAGTTTAGTGAGGTTATGTGGCTTGTGTAGTAAAATGAAGTCAGGAATCTATGGCAATTCTGACTCTAGAGCTTTTACTCTCAATCACTGTCAAAGGGCAATAGTACCAGTCAAGTTAAAAACATAAGACTTTATTCGAGACTACTGCAATAGGAGAGAGGCGAGTGCAATATAGATGAGAGTTTGAACTAAACTTCAGTGAAACAAAAGGTGGGAGTTTTAAAGCACTGGGGTGAGACAGTAGAAAAGTACCAGAGGATGTTACAGCAAGGCTGGTCAATGTGATCACGCCATCTATGTTTGCTAATTGGTACTAAGGCTCCTACCTCCCACAATGACTAATATCCTGCAAAGGAATGACCATCTTGGGTTATACAACTGGCAGGTGGCTGATAGAAAACTTGTATCTCAAAGGGAAAGAAAAGAATTTTTAATTTCAAGTATTCTTAAGTTAATGCTCTAAGAAAAGAGACGTCAGGGGCCTACAGTCAGGAAGAAGACTGTCAAGTTGTGTCAAGCTAAGGGGAATATTAAGGCTGTCTTTGTCATCACTAAGCTACAGGCCTCTGGGTTGTGCTAGGTTGCTCAAACCTTGAAGGGCAGTATAGGGTTTACATTTAATATAAAGATGAAAACCTGGCCAGGCATGGTGGCTCATGCTTGTAATCCCACCACTTTGGGAGGCCAAGGTAGGCAGATCACTTGAGGTCAGGAGTTCAAGACCAGCCTGGCCAACATGGTGAAACCCCATCTCTACTAAAAATACAAAAATTAGCCAGGCATGGTGGTGCACATTTGTAATCCGAGCTACTCAGGAAGCTGAGGCAGGAGAATTGCTTAAACTCAAAAGGCTGAGATTGAGTGAGCCGAAGATTGTGCCACTGCACTCCAGCCTGGGCAACAGAGCAAGACTCTGTCTCAAAAAAAAAAAAAAAAAAAAAAAAGAAAAGAAAAAAAAATAGACAAAAAGCTAACAATACAAAGTAGACATACATTAGCTATTTACTGACTGTTTCAGTCCATGAGTATTTCAGACCTAAAAACATTTTACAACATGCATGGGTGCAACCTTGAGGAGCATGCACTCTAAGAAAGAAATCTCTCCAACAACACTTGCTGTTTTCCAACCAATGAGAAATGTTCTTGGAGGTCTTCATAGGAAGTTACAGGTAGGATTCAAATAATCACGAAAAGCTATTGAAGAAAACAGCAGAGTTGAGACTCCTTTAGCAAAATGAACAACCATCCATCCCCACCCTCAACCTTCATATAAACCTTTTTTTCCTAGTTTGGACTTTTATCCACTAGCTTAGCATACGGTTCAAAATATTTATACAAATATAAATATAAATATAAAATAATATAAATATCCTGTAGAAAATTCTACGAAATATTCTCTAAGATTCTCATGGAAGTTTTGTTACTAGTATATATTAATATATTTTTAAAATATAGATTATGGGGCACTACCAAAGAGATCTAGGAATGACTGCCTTTGGTGAGTAGAAACTATACATAAGAAGAAGTCAAGTCACTAATCTGTCCCGAGTAATCAAAATGTTGACAAATTAATTTGACCTGTTGGGGCTCAGAAAATAATATTCCAAATTACAGCACTTTGGCATGCTAAAAGCTTTTTTTTTTTTTTTTTTGAGATGGAGTCTCACTCTGTCACCCAGGTTGGAGTGCAGTGGCGCGATCTCGGCTCACTGCAACCTCCGCCTCCCAAGTTCCAGAGTTTCTCCTGCCTCAGCCCCATGCCTGGCTAATTTTTTTTTTTTTTTTGTATTTTTAGTAGAGATGGGGTTTCACCATGTTAGCCAGGCTGGTCTCGAACTCCTGACCTGAAGTGATCCACCCACCTTGGTCTCCCAAAGTGCTGGGATTACAGGCGTGAGCCACTGCGCCCAGCCAGAACTTTAAATTAAAGGAAACTGAAAGGCCTCAGAAATAAGCCTCAGAACCAAGATCTCTCTCTGTACTTCTGCTCGCTGTCTCTGTTAGGCCTCTGAGCCCAAGCCAAGCCATCGCATCCCCTGTGACTTGCACATATATGCCCAGATGGCCTGAAGTAACTGAAGAATCACAAAAGAAGTGAAAAGGCCCTGCCCCGCCTTAACTGATGACATTCCACCACTGTGATTTGTTCCTGCCCCACCTTAACTGAGTGATTAACCCTGTGAATTTCCTTCTCCTGGCTCAGAAGCTACCCCACTGAGCACCTTGTGACCCCCGCCCCTGCCCACCAGAGAACAACCTCCTTTGACTGTAATTTTCCATTACCTTCCCAAATCCTATAAAACGGCCCCACCCCTATCTCCCTTCGCTGACTCTCTTTTCGGACTCAACCGCCTGCACCCAGGTGAAATAAACAGCCATGCTGCTCACACAAAGCCTGTTTGGTAGTCTCTTCACACGGACACACATGAAATTTGGTGCCATGACTCGGATCGGGGGACCTCCCTTGGGAGATCAATCCCCTGTCCTCCTGCTCTTTGCTCCATGAGAAAGATCCACCTACGACCTCAGGTCCTCAGACTGACCAGCCCAAGAAACATCTCACCAATTTCAAATCCGGTAAGCGGCCTCTTTTTACTATCTTCTCCAGCTTCCCTCACTATCCCTCAACCTCTTTCTCCTTTCAATCTTGGCACCACACTTCAATCTCTCCCTTCTCTTAATTTCAATTCCTTTCATTTTCTGGTAGAGACAAAGGAGACACGTTTTATCCATGGACCCAAAACTCCGGTGCCGGTCACGGACTGGGACGGCAGCCTTCCCTTGATGTTTAATCATTGCAGGGACACCTCTCTGATTATTCACCCACGTTTCAAAGGTGTCAGACCACGCAGGGACACCTGCCTTGGTCCTTCACCCTTAGCGGCAAGTCCCGCTTTTCTGGGGAAGGGGCAAGTACCCCAACCCCTTCTCTCCTTGTCTCTACCCCTTCTCTGCTTTTCTGGGGGAGGGGCAAGAACCCCTCAACCCCTTCTCCTTCACCCTTAGTGGCAAGTCCCACTTTTCTGGGGGAGGGGCAAGTACCCCTCAACCCCTTCTCCTTCACCCTTAGCAGCAAGTCCCACTTTTCTAGGGGGCAAGAACCCCCAATCCCTTATTTCCGCTCCCCAACCTCTTATCTCTGTGCCCCAATTCCTTATTTCCATGCCCCAACCCTTTCTCTGCTTTTCTGGAGGGCAAGGAACCCCTACCCCTTCTCTGTGTCTCTACTCTTTTCTCTGGGCTTGCCTCCTTCACTATGGGCAAGATTCCACCTTACATTCCTCCTCCTTCTCCCTTAGCCTATATTCTTAAGAACTTAAAACCTCTCCAACTTTCACTGACCTAAAATCTAAGCGTCTTATTTTCTTCTGCAATGCCGCTTGACCCCAATACAAACTTGACAGTAGTTCCAAACACCGGAAAATGGCACTTTCAATTTTTCCATCCTACAAGATCTAAATAATTCTTGTCGTAAAAGGGGCAAATGGTCTGAGGTGCCTGACGTCCAGGCATTCTTTTACACATCAGTCCCTTCCTAGTCTCTGTGCCCAGTGCAACTCATCCCAAATCTTCCTTCTTTCCCTCCCGCCTGTCCCCTCAGTCCCAACCCCAAGCGTCGCTGAGTCTTTCTAATCTTCCTTTTCTATAGACCCATGTGACCTCTCCCCTCCTCACCAGGCCAAGCTAGGTCCCAATTCTTCCTCAGCCTCTGCTCCTCCACCCTGTAATCTTTTTATCGCCTCCCCTCCTCACACCTGGTCCGGCTTACAGTTTCCTTCTGTGACTAGCCCTCCCCAACCTGCCCAGCAATTTACTCTTAAAAAGGTGACTGGAGCCAAAGGCATAGTCAAGGTTAATGCTCATTTTTCTTTATCCCAAATCAGAAGCGTTTAGGCTCTTTTTCATCAAATATAAAAACCCAGCCCAGTTCATGGCTTGTGTGGCAGCAACCCTGAGATGCTTTACAGCCCTAGACCCTAAAAGGTCAAAAGGCCATCTTATTCTCAATATACATTTTATTACCCAATCTGCTCCCGACATTAAATAAAACTCCAAAAATTAGAATCTGGCCCTCAAACCCCACAACAGGACTTAACCTTACCTTCAAGGTGTACAATAATAAAAAAAAAGTTGCAACTCCTTGCCTCCACTGTGAGACAAACCCCAGCCACATCTCCAGCACACAAGAACTTCCAAACGCCTGAACCGCAGCAGCCAGGCGTTCCTCCAGAACCTCCTCCCCCAGGAGCTTGCTACAAGTGCCAGAAATCTGGCCACCAGGCCAAGGAATGCCTGCAGCCCAGGATTCCTCCTAAGCCGTGTCCCATCTGTGCGGGACCCCATGGGAAATCGGACTGTTCAACTCACCTGGCAGCCACTCCCAGAGCCCCTGGAACTCTGGCCCAAGGCTCTCTGACTGACTCCTTCTTGGCTTAGCGGCTGAAGACTGATGCTGTCTGATTGCCTCGGAAGCCCCATAGACCATCACGGATGCTGAGCTTTAGGTAACTCTCAGAGTGGAGGGTAAGTCCGTCCCCTTCTTAATCAATACGAAGGCTACCCACTCCACATTACCTTCTTTTCAAGGGCCTGTTTCCCTTGCCTCCATAACTGTTGTGGGTATTGACAGCCAGGCTTCTAAACCTCTTAAAACTCCCCAACTCTGGTGCCAACTTAGACAATACTCTTTTAAGCACTCTTTTTTAGTTATCCCCACCTGCCCAGTTCCCTTATTAGGCCGAGATATTTTAACCAAATTATCTGCTTCCCTGACTATTCCCGGACTATAGCCGCATCTCATTGCTGCCGTTCTTCCCAATCCAAAGCCTCCTTTGCGTCCTCCTTTTGTATTCCCCCACCTTAACCCACAAGTATAAGATACCTCTACTCCCTCCTTGGCGACCGATCACGCACCCCTTACCATCTCATTAAAACCTAATCACCCTCACCCCACTCAATGCCAATATCCCATCCCACAGCATGCTTTAAAAGGATTAAAGCCTGTTATCACTCGCCTGCTACAGCATGGGCTTCTAAAACCTATAAACTCTCCTTACCATTCCCCCATTTTACCTGTCCTAAAACCAGACAAGGCTTAAAAGTTAGTTCAGAATCTGCGCCTTATCAACCAAATTGTTTTGCCTATCCACCCCGTGGTGCCAAACCCATATACTCTCCTATCCTCAAAACCTCCGTCTACAATCCATTATTCTGTTCTGGATCTCAAACATGCTTTCTTTACTATTCCTTTGCACCCTTCATCCCAGCCTCTCTTTGCCTTCACTTAGACTGACCCTGACACACATTAGGCTCAGCAAATTACCTGGGCTGTACTGCCGCAAGGCTTCACAGACAGCCCCCGTTACTTCAGTCAAGCCCAAATTTCATCCTCATCTGTTACCTATCTTGGCATAATTCTCATAAAAACACAGGTGCTCTCCCTGCTGATCATGTCCAATTAATCTCCAAAACCTCAATCCCTTACAAAACAACAACTCCTTTCCTTCCTAGGCATGGTTAGTGTGGTCAGAATTCTTACACAAGAGCCAGGACCACACCGTGTAGCCTTTCTGTCCAAACAAATTGACCTTACTGTCTTAGCCTAGCCCTCATGTCTGCATGCAGCGGCTGCCGCTGCTTTAATACTGTTAGAGGCCCTAAAAAATCACAAACTATGCTCAACTCACTCTCTACATTTCTCGTAACTTCCAAAATCTATTTTCTTCCTCATACCTGACGCATATACTTTCTGCTCCCCAGCTCCTTCAGCTGAACTCACTCTTTAAGTCCCACAACTACCATTGTTTCTGGCCCGGACTTCAATCTGGCCTCCCACATTATTCCTGATACCACACCTGACCCCCATGACTGTATCTCTCTGATCCACCTGATATTCACCCCATTTCCCCATATTTCCTTCTTTCCTGTCCCTCACCCTGAACACACTTGGTTTATTGATGGCAGTTCCACCAGGCCTAATCGCCACACACCAGCAAAGGCAGGCTATGCTATAGTACGAGCCACTAGCCCGCCTCTCAGAACCTCTCATTTCCTTTCCATCGTGGAAATCTATCCTCAAGGAAATAACTTCTCAGTGTTCCATCTGCTATTCTACTACTCCTCAGGGATTATTCAGGCCCCCTCCCTTCCCTACACATCAAGCTCCAGGATTTGCCCCCACCCAGGACGGGCAAATTAGCTTTACTCAACATGTCCCGAGTCAGGAAACTAAAATAGCTCTTAGTCTAAATAGACGCTTTCACTGAATAAGTAATGGCCTTTCCTACAGGGTCTGAGAAGGCCACCACAGTCATTTCTTCCCTTCTGTCAGACATAATTCCTCAGTTTAGCCTTCCCACCTCTATACAGTCTGATAACAGACCAGCCTTTATTAGTCAAATCAGCCAAGCAGTTTTTCAGGCTCTCAGTATTCAGTGAAACCTTTATATCCCTTATGGTCCTCCGTCTTCAAGAAAAGTAGAACGGACTAAAGGTCTTTTAAAAACACACCTCACCAAGCTCAGCCACCAACTTAAAAAGGACTGGACAATACTTTTACCACTTTCGCTTCTCAGAATTCAGGCCTGTCCTCAGAATGCTACAAGGTACAGCCCATTTAAGCTCCTGTATAGACGCTCCTTTTTATTAGGCCCCAGTCTCATTGGACACCAGACCAACTTAGACTGTGCCCCAAAAAAACTTGTCATCCCTACTATCTTTTGTCTAGTCATACTCCTATTCACCATTCTCAACTACTCATACATGCCCTGCTCTTGTTTACACTGCTGGTTTACACTGTTTCTCCAAGCCATCACAGCTGGTATCTCCTGGTGCTATCCCCAAACTGCCACTCTAAACTCTTGAAGTAAATAAATAATCTTTGCTGGCAGGACTATGGTGAATCTCCTTAGGCACTCTCTAATCAGATGTCCTAGCTCTCCCAATTCTTAGACTTTTTATACCTGTTTTTCTCCTTCTCTTATTCCATTTAGTTTTTCAATTCATACAAAACCGTATCCAGGCCATCACCAATCATTCTATATGACAAATGTTTCTTCTAACAACCCCACAATATCACCCCTTACCACAAGACCTCCCTTCAGCTTAATCTCTCCCACTCTAGGTTCCCACACTGCCCCTAATCCTGTTGAAGCAGCCCTGAGAAACATCGCCCATTCTCTCTCCATACCACCCCCAAAAATTTTCGCCGCCCCAACACTTCAACACTATTTTGTTTTATTTTTCTTATTAATATAAGGAAGCAGGAATGTCAGGCCTCTGAGCCCAAGCCAAGCCGTCGCATCCCCTGTGAGTTGCAGGTATACGCCCAGATGGCCTAAGTAACTGAAGAATCACAAAAGTGAAAAGGCCCTGCCCCGCCTTAACTGATGACATTCCACCATTGTGATTTGTTCCTGCCCCACCTTAACTAAGTGATTAACCGTGTGAATTTCCTTCTCCTGGCTCAGAAGCTCCCCCACTGAGCACCTTGTGACCCCGCCCCTGCCCACCAGAGAACAACCCCCTTTGACTGTAATTTTCCATTACCTTCCCAAATCCTATAAAACGGTCCCACCCCTATCTCCCTTCGCTGACTCTCTTTTTGGACTCAGCCCACCTGCACCCAGGTGAAATAAACAGCCATATTGCTCACACAAAGCCTGTTTGGTGGTCTCTTCACACGGACCCGCATGAAAGTCTCTATGGTCCTCTTTCTTTCCAGAAGCAGCAGGAGGGGCTCTCTCTGAAGTTCCATCATCTGATTAAGGGAAGTTCTTCCAGAAGAAACGCAACTGTCTTTTTTTTTTTTTTTTTTGAGACGGAGTTTCGCTCCTGTTGCCCAGGTAGGAGTGGTGCAGTGGCACAGTCTCAGCTCACTGCAACCTCCGCCTCCCGGGTTCATGTGAGTCTCCTGCCGCAGCCTCCTGAGTAGCTGGGATTACAGCCGTGTGCCACCACGCCCAGCTAATTTTTGTATTTTTAGTAGAGACGGGGTTTCACCATGTTGGCCAGGCTAGTCTGGAACTCCTGACCTCATGATCTGCCTCCCTTGGCCTCCCAAAGTGCTGGGATTACAGGCGTGAGCCACTGTGCCTGGCCTAGAAATGCAATTGTCTTAAAACTCCTTCCCCAGGAATCTCATCAAATAACCAGGAAAGATTAGTCACCAAAGAAAAGACTAAAAGTCATAACCACACCCAGACAGGCTTTTATTCTTCTGAGGGCAGTTCCAAGAGATTACCTAAAAGACTTTATCTACATATTAAGACAACTTGTGTTCATAATGAAGTTCCACCCTTCAGCTTCCCACAATGTGCTGCAATGTCCCCCAGAGCTCAGAACAACTTTGTCCGAGGCCAGTAGTCTGTTGTTTGGGCTCATTCACTTCCCCTAAAAGTCATTTGCTTCTAAAATTGCATATACTTCCCCACTTCCCTCTTCCATATGAAGAGGGTATTTAAGCCTCAACCATCTGGACCTTCTTTGAGTCTCATATTTTCAGGACTCCCGTGTCCATGTACATAATAAATTTGTAGGCCTTTTTTTTTTTTCCTGTTACTATACTGTCAGCTCATTCCAGTGACCCTTCAGAGAAGCGTGGAAGAGAAGTTTTCTATCCACCCCTACAGACTACAATTAGGTCACACTGAGAGTTCTACTAAGATAACTCAGTAGAGAAAGACAGTCTAGAATTTTGCTAGAACAAAGGAGATGTGGGGGAGGGAAGGCTAGAAAATACCATCAAATAAGTAAAGGAAGGGAAGAAATGAAGTAATATCTTTTGAGGTTCTATTATCTAATAATCACTGGGCAAAGTACCTTTCTCAAATTATTTCATTAAATCTAGACAAACACATCCAGCCTGGTAGCACTGGTTTTATTTTACATATAAGAAAGCTGAGCATCCCAGCAGTTAAATAACTTGCCCAAGTCACAGAGCTTGTAAAGGATGAAAGCAGGATTCGAATCCTGGCTGATATGACTTCCAAATTCCATTCTCTTTTTTCAAAAATACAATATAGAATTAAGGGTTCTGTCAACTTCTGAAATTATGTTGAAGTCAAAAATGAGTTTGTGCAGAACTAAATCTATAGTAGGGGTCACAGTCTAGGTCCTATTTTTATACACCCTAAAGCTAAGAATAATTTTTACATTTTATAGAATTGTAAAGGGAAAGAAAAAGAGAAGAAAATGTAACAGAGAACCATATGTGACCCACAGAGCTCATAAAAGCCTAAAATATTTGCTTTCTGGCTCTTTACAGAAAAAGTTGCCAATCTATAATCTAAAATAAAACTTGTTTTGGTTCAAAGTTTTTTATATATTACCTTTTTTTTTCTGTGAAATCAAAAACAAACGGCTAATATTTTTCATTTTAATTGTAAATATGTGTAATACCCCTAGTTTTAAACAGGCCTGTCTGTGGAACTCAAGATTTATACCAGGATCAGGTAGGTGTGATTATTTGCGTTGTAGTAAGACTAGCCACAGGAATATATAAATAGTTACTCCCTATGCATTTATTTTTATATTTTTAAAATAGAGATGGGGTCTCACTTTTTTGCCTGGGCTGGTCTTGAACTCCTGGGCTCAAGCAATCCTCCTGCTTCAGCTTCCCAAAATGGTGGGTTACAGGCGTGAGCTGCCACGCCCAGACTCCTTAATGCATTTCAAATGATTGTCCTTTTATGCACTTTTTCTGAATGTAGCCATCATTTCCCTTCTCCATGAGTACGAGGGACAGCCTTACCTGCTTCCCTTCACCTTGACACAGAGATTTTTCTATTACACTGTATTGACTCTCACATGATTTTCTTGCCTTTCTTAGACATTACTTTTTTTTATAACTTTGTGAGGTAGATAGGGAAGATGGATGTCATTATCAACATTTAACAGATGAAAAATATATTCCCAAACAACGTAAGCCACTCAACACTCACTAAGGCCAGCCTGTCCAAGGGTTTTGTTATTTTAGTGAACTTCTCGACTCCTCCAATAAACAACTAATTTTAACTAACGCTTTTACAGGCTTTCCATTTTGATACTTTGTGATTGAAAATGTAGTGTTGCAGCCACTGAGGTGTAATCCCATCAAGAAAGAAGCGGCCCTTTACTTGTAAGGAATGCAATAAGTCGACATCCACTAGGGGCAGGACCACTGGGTCCTACCACAGCGTGTGCACCAAGGCCACACTCTTCCTGGGCAGTTGATCATGGAGAGGGTGTGACTATTTCTACATAGCTGGGGTCTCTCCTAATAGGCAAGCTTTGCTCTGGAGCTCCCCAATGTCGGGAGTGGGCACTGAGATTTTGTCAGATCTGCATCATGTCTGAAGCTCTCCCTCCTCAATTCTGCCTCTGGTTCCCTTTCCTTTCACAAGTGTCAGATCAACATCCCGCTCTGGAAGCCTTCCCTGTTCAATCCTGCTTCCTCCCCTTTTATCTTACATGGGCATTAGATTTCCTGCCTCCAAAAAGCCCTTGCCCTCCTAATTCTATCTCAGTATTAGCCTCCCCAAGAACCCCATTCTTGGCAAACAAGGTAAGGAAATTGAGGAGAAACAAAAAAGTACTGTATAATAATACAAAGCACAAATTTGTATCAAAACACAGTAGCATCTGTGAGGCTACATATATTTTTTAACAGATATGAATGATTCTTGTGAACATAAACATGCTGCTGCTTCATTCCATGCTTCATTCCCTTTTTGTCATATAGTTATTTTCGTAAATATGCATTTGATTTATTGTTAAGATTTTTGCATTATGGTATGTTATTGAAAAAATAGGAATATATTATGCCCTATTAAAATAAATGATTGCTTTCTGTTTTGAAGAAAAGCCTTTAAAGTTGCTACATACATGTATATACATGTTCTCCCCAATTTATGACAGAGGGGTCAATAAATCACAGCCTTGATTAAAGAATGGAATGAAGATGAAAAGCAAATTAGCCTTTGAGTATGATCATGAAAAACACAAGTTTCATATACTAAGCAGTCCGTCTAGAAAATCACCTTCATATTTCACCTGGCCAGATCACCTTCCTATTTCACTTGGCCAGATTTGTACACAGGTATGCCATATTCCCAAGTTCTACACTTAGTTAAGCCTGTACTTCCAGTCTTCTTTGCTTCCTGATGCTTGTAGGCTTTTACACCGCTTTATTTTTCCAGATGGATGGGTAAAGCTAATGATTAAAAAGAACCCTCTGATTTTGTGGGCAACAGAGTAAGACCCCATCTCCAAATATATATATATATTTACATACAGAAAGAAAGAACCCTGTGAAATCCTCTCTCTGGTGAGTTATAAGAGAATGGCCTTTATATGTAGAACCTGAAATGGTTTGGCTGTGTCTCCACCCAAAATCTCATCTTGAATTGTAATCTGAATTGTAATTCCCATGTGTTGAGGGAAGGACCCCTGGGAAGTGATTAGATCATGGGGGCGGTTCCCGCATGCTGTTCTTGTGATAGTGAGTGAATTCTCCTGAGATCTGATGGTTTTATAAGGGGCTTTTCACCCTTTCCCTCAGCACTTCTCTCTTGCCAGCATGTGAAGAAGGACATATTTGCTTCCCCTTCTGCCATGATAGCAGTTACCTGGGGCCTCCCCAGCCATGCAGAACTGTGAGTCAATTAAACCTCTTTTCTTTATAAATTACCCAGTTTTGGGTATTTTTTTTTTTTTCATAGCAGTATGGGAATGGACTACTACAGATCCTTTTAAGCACAAGGCAATTTACTGGGTTTTCACCTTGTCCACATGAATCTGCTATTTTAACAATGTACAAAGTTATTTAGCTTTTTTAAATTTATGCTTTGGCTCCACAGTTAAAGGCTGTAGGCTCCTAGGGGTTGAGGGACTGGGATAATGTCATATATACATTTTTGTATCCATAACAGCACCTACTCTAAGGCCTTCTGCACAGTTGGTTTGAATAAATTTTAATTGATTTAATTGATAATAATTAGACAAACTGAACTAAATTTTTTTAACAGATACCTGAGTGCCAAGCTTAACAGATACCTGAGTGCCAAGCATAATAAACAGGAAATATACACTTCAAAAAAGAAAAAGAAAAATGAATGCATACTTATCAAATACTTGCTGTAAGAGCATTAAGTACTTTACATAAGTCAAATCATTTAATCCTCATGACCCTAAGAAGTTATTTTAAGATCTTTTGAGAATGAGAAAAAAGGATGAGTAAGGGTAGGTGATCTATGTAAAACAAATAAATTCTAGTAACTGGCAAAGCTGAGATTTGAACCTAAATCAATCTGACCAGAAGTTCTGAGTTATTTTCCATGTGCCTCACATAGCAGAAAGGGAGATGGCATAAGCACATCTACAGGCCTAGAGGTAACATATACTCTGACAAAAGCATAAAAGTCTATGAAATTTTACAGCAAGGAAAGGCTATTTCTAACAGGGAGACTCAGAGAAAGAAGCAACATTTAAGTTGGGTACTGAATAATTTCTAAGACTTCCACAGATGGAGACAGGGAAGAAGAAACATACAAGAGGGCAACCAGAGCATGTGTCAGTGTGTGTTGAGGGCGGAGAAGTTGGTGGAAACACAACACAAGCCAGGAAAAAAAAAGAAAGAAAGAAAGAAAGGTTTGCATCAGTTTCCAGAGAGCCTTGGAAACCATGCTAAGAAGGTGGGGCACAATTTTTGTAAGCAAATAGATGTCACGGAAGGATTTTTCTGGCAAAGAATAATAATATCAGCACTGGCAGCATCATAAGGAGGAAATGGATGCAGAGAGTCCATTTAGGAGAATATAACAATACAGGCAATCAACAGGAACTCGGACTAGGACAGTGGTGAGCAGAAGGGAGACAAAGAAGAGATCCACGAGTTACTGGATAAGAGGGTTGAGAGAAAGAGAGTCAAAGACAACTCTGAAAACAGTGTAACTGGCTGAGTAAGTGATGATTCAATAAATAGAGAAAAAGAGAGTAAGAAGAGGAAGGAGAGATTTGGTAAGAAAATGACTCAATCACTTCTGTACCAAAAGCAAACTAGCTGACTGGTGACTAACACCCTAATCCAACTAGTTCCTGGTTTGTCCGTTTATGGAGGACTGAGTGACAGAGTAAAAGTTGATGGAAAGACGTAAAGGGCCTCTTTCCCAACAAGGGTAAAATCTGCTGCTTTCCTGCTTCTCACGCAACCGAGAATCCTGAGTAGCAAGCAGCCAGACTGGCTCAAATGGAAGCATTTCTCAATGCTTGATACGACGTTGATATAAGAAGTAGGAGAATGTAAGCTGAAGACAGGGAGAAAAACATTTGGAGCTGGCAGAGAAAGAAGCAGGACACTAATGTGAACAAATGTCACTGTCCACTGGGATGTGACCACACATTAAATCACATTTGTTTACTATTTTATGTCCACAATGAAGATTCACATGAGAGAATAGATGCATACACAGCTCTCAAAATGAGGTCTCTTATGAAGAACAATATTAAGTAAACTAATTTTTCCTGTTGTACAATATACCACCTTATAATTTAGACAATTTTGTACAATTAAATCTTCTTAATTAGCACACCTTGCTGTAATGAGAAATGTGTCCATTAAAGTCTCATAATGAGAGACTGATGAAAATTATACTAGGAAGAAAGTCACTATTCATGACTATTAAAAATGGCAAGCTAGACACCACTTTTTAAACTTCATAAATTGTTCCAGAAAATATCATGCGTAAAGAGAGAAGACCTTGAAACTGAATGGATTCACAAGAAACTGAAAAAGGCCAGTTACTTTGCAGTATGAACAGCATTGTAGTTAGCTGTTTTACAAAAAAAATAAAAGGTCTTCAATCAATAAAAAAGAAAAACCCACTGGGAAGAGTATATATATGTATTCAGCAACTTTAAAGCTTTTCTTTAAAACAAAAAGCCATCATTTATCTTATTTGAATAGGGAATAATATTTTCCTATCTTTCCACAAGATACCATAAGGCAAAAATCTTCACAATAAATTACATGCATACTTATGAAACCACTATATGACAAATGAAGCAGCAACATGTTTATGTTCACAAGAATCACTCATATCTGTTAAAACATGGATGTAGCCTCAAAGATGCTACTATGTTTTGATGCAAATTTGTGTTTTGTATTATCATACAGTACTTTTTTGTTTCTCCTCAATTTCCCTGCCTTGTTTGCCAATAATAAAACCCTACAAATGATACTAGTGCTTTATCACAATTCCATGTAGACAAAGTAACAGAACCTTAAAGAGGTGCTGGCTTACTTTTCAAATATGAGGTTTATTAGAATAAGCATGAAGATATAGTTTTCAAAACTATAGTTTATCTTTTATCTTTTAGTGAGCTGTAAAAAGCAGTTTCTGTTTTGATGGAAGCAACATGTGCTTATCCTTAAAAATAATCTGCTTTGTATGTTGGATCATTTTTTCCTCCTAGATCTTATAACTATCTATTCATATTTACAAACTGAAAATTTTATCCTTTCATATTTTTTGAGAGTGAAAGACTTAATGACATGCTCATGAAGTCATTATATTGGATAACCACCAGAAAAGCTGTGCCTCTATTACTGCGTCATTCCATCTACTGCCCCATTAGGACCAAGACTATGACTGCCTTAAATACTGCCATAAATTAAAGTATCAAAACAAAACCTTGATGTATATTTAGTAATATTATAAATGATAATAGCATTTTGACCTCATGATCTGCTTTTCTATTCTAACCTGGTTCTTTTAGCAAAACATCAAAGCCTGTTTGATTAAATAGGACTGTGACTTAACAGGCTTTCCAGACTTCTGGGGAAAATTCCCTCAATAGTTCATAGGCTAGCAGTTGCCTCTTTACTAAAAATACCTTCACCTATTATAGAAAATCTTTCCAATTACAGTCTATTTCCAACTTGTCCTTTTGACACAAGTTCTCAAGGATTATAAGAAAAAACCTATGATACTCTCAATTTCCAATCTAATCAAGACACACAACCTGTGTGTGTATATTAACAAAATTAAAAAAGCAATGGAAGAGGGAAATCTGGATTGCATTGGCTTAATGGTCTTCCTCTTTGTCTGATTCAAATCTGAACCTAATCAAGACTTTTCAGTATATCAGTAAGCATTATCAGAGCTTGGTATATCTGTAAACAGCAGACACTCACAAAATGTTAGCTGATATAATTTGACTGTCATTGGTATATTATAAAAAGGTTCAACATACATAGGCTGTGTCTACATAAAACACAACTAACCAGCATTGGAAGTAGCCTACTTGGTTTACACTAACTACATATTCTATTAAATTCAAAGATAGTATTTGAGGTCGCTAGCAATAGTGCTACCTGCATAGCCCCTTGGAGTTCCATGATTTTTAAGAGCCACTAAAAAAGGGCACCTGTTAATTCATTTAATTTACACAGTTCAAGGAGTAATTCAAAATTCAGAAATGCCATTTTCCCACACTAACTGAAAAAAAAAAGCCTATATGTAACAGTTTGTGAAGCAGGATGCTCAAATATTTTGGTCATAAATTGCTCTTTGGTCATGTATGCATCTGGGTTTTAGAAAACATGTTATTTTTTGTCTTTCTCATAATAGCTACTCTGACTGGCATAAGATGATATCTCAGTTGGTTTTAATTTGCATTTCTCTGATGATTAGTGATGTTGAGCATTTTTTCCATATATTTATTGGCTATTTTTATGTCTTATTTTAAACAATATCTGTTCATGTCTTTTGCCCATCTTTTAATGGGGTTATTTTTTTTTCTTGTCAAGTTCCTTATAGATTCTGGATATTAGCCCTTTGTCATATGCATTGTTTGCAAATATTTTCTTCCACTCTGCAGGTTGTCTGTTCACTTGGTTGATTGTTTCTCTTGCTGTGCAGAGGTTTTTCAGTTTAATTAAATCCCACTTGTCTATTTTTGTTGCTTAAGCTTTTCAGGTCTTAGTCTATAATTATTTACCTAGACCAATGTCCACAAGAGCTTTCCCTTGTTTTACTTCTAGTATTTTTTATAGTTTCAGCCCTTACATTTAGGTCTTTAATCCATCTTGAGTTGACTGTTGTATATGGTGAGAGATAGGGGTCCATTTTCATTATTCTGTATATGGCAATCCAATTTTCCCAGCACAATTTATTGAACAGGGTGTCCTTTCCCCAGTGTGCATTTTTGTTGACTCTATCAACAATCACTTGGGTGTAGATATGTAGCTTTATTTATTGGTTCTCTATTCTGTTCCACTGATCTATGTGTCTATTTTGATACCAGAACCATGCTGTTTTGGTTACTATAGCCTTGCAGTATAATTTGTGGTCAGGTAATGTGATGCCTCCAGCTTTGTTCTTTGGGCTTAGGGTTGCTTTGGCTATTCAGGCCCCCTTTTCAGTTCTATGTGAATTTCAGGATGGTTTTGTCTAATTCTGTGAAAAATGATGCTTGTATTTGGATAGAGATTGCACTGAATCTGCAGATTGTTTTGGGCACTGTGCTCATTTTAACAATTCTTCTGATCTATAAGCATGGAATGTTTTTCCATTTGTTTGTGTCATCTACAATTTATTTCACCACTGTTTTGTAGTTTTCCTTGTAGAGATCTTTCACTTTCTTGGTTAAATATATTCTTAGGTATTTTATTTCATTTTTTTAGTTACTGTAAATAAAATTGCCTTTTCGATTTGGTTCTTAGCTTCACTGTTATTGGTGTATAGAAATACTACTGATTTTTATACATTGATTTTATATCCTCAAACTTTGCTAAATTCATTTAACAAAATTAAGAGTTTTTTGCAGGAGTTTTTAGGGTTTTCTAAATATAAGATCATATTGTTGGCAAATAGAGATAATTCGATTTCTTCTTTTGCAATCTGGATGTATTTCATTTCTTTCTCTTGCATGAATGCTCTAGCTAGGCTATCCACTACTATGATAAATAGGAGTGGTAAAAGTGGGCATTCTTGTCTTATTCCAGTTTGTAGGGAGATTGCTTTCAACCTTCCCCCATTTAGTATGATGTTGGCATATATGGCCTTTGTTATTTTGAGGTATGTTCCTTCTACGTCTGGTTTGTAGAGGGTTTCTATCATGAAGAGATGCTGAATTTTATCACATGCTTTTTTTCTGCATGTATAATCATATGGTTTTTGTTTTTAATTCTGCTTATGTGATGAATCACATCACAAGAATACTTGCATCCCTGGAATGAAACCTATTTGATCATGGTGTATTATCTTTTTAATGCACTGTGGGATTTGGTTTGCTAGTTTTTGTTGAGGACTTTGCATCTATGGTCATCAGGGATATTGATCCAACGTTTTCTTTTTTGTTTTGTCCTTGTTTAGCTTTGGTATAAGGGTCACACTGGCTTTGTAGAATGAACTAGGGAGAATTTCCTCTTCCTTGATTTTTTGGAACAGTTTCAGTAGGATTGGTACCAGTTCTTCTTTGTACTTTTGGTAGAATTTGGCAATTAATCCATTTGGTTACTGGCTTTTTTTGTTTGTTAAGATTTTTCTATTACCGATTCTATCTCGCTACTTTCGTATTGGTCTCTTCAGGATTTCTATTTCTTCCTGGTTCAATCTTGAGAGGTTGTATGTTTCTAGGAATGTATCCATTTCCTCTAGGTTTTCTAGTTTATAAGCATATAGTTGTTCACAGAAGTCTCTGATGATCTCTTGCATTTCTGTGGTAGTAGTTGTAATGTCTCCTTTTTAATTTCTGATTATGTGTATTTGGAACTTCTCTATTCTTGGTTAGTGTAGCCAGTAGTTTATCAATTTAGTTTTTCTTTTTAAAGAACAAACTTTTCATTTTGTTGATTTTTTTATTTTAATTTTTATTTATTTATTTAATTTTTGGTCTCAATTTCACTTAGTCCTGCTCTGATCTTTGCTATTTATTTTCTTCTGCTAGCTATGGGTATGGTTTGTTCTTGTTTTTCTATTTTTTTGAGATGTGATGTTTGGTTAATTTGTGATTTCTTTTTTTGAAGTACACACTTAAAGATATAAACTTCCCTGTTAGCAGTGCTTTTTTCTGTATCCCAAAGGCTTTGGTATGTTGTGTCTCCATTTTCATTCATTTCAAAAATTTAAAAATTTTTATCTGAATTTCATCATTGATCCAAAGATCAGCGAGGAATGTGTTGTTTAATTTCCATGTATTTGTATAGTTTCAATAATTACTCATGGTATTAATTTCTAGTTTTATTCCACTGTGGTCTGACATGACACTTGATATGATTTTGATTTTTTAAAATGTATTGAGGCTAGTTTTGTGGCCTAACATACAGTCTATCTTGGAGAATGTTCCCTGTGATGATGAGTAAAATGTATATTCTGCAGCTCTTGGAATATCTGTTTCATCCTTTTGATCTAATGTTCAATTAAGTCTAGTTTCCTTGCTGATTTTCTGTCTCAATGATCTGTCTGGTGCTGTGAGTGGGGTGTTGAAGTCTCCCATTATTATTGTATTGCTATCTCTTTATTTAGGTCTCGTAATATTGTTTTATGAATCTGGCTGCTCCTGAGTTCAGGGCATGTATATTTACGACTGGTATAGCCTCTTGTTGAATTGTTTTATCATTATATAATAACCTCCTTTGTCTTTTTTTTTTTTTTTAACTGTTTTTGATTTAAAGCCTGTTTTATCTGATACAAGCATGGCTACTCCTGCTTGCTTTTGGTTTCTGCTTGGGTGGAATATCTTTTTCAATCCCTTGGCCTTCAATCTATAAGTGTCTTTACCAGCAAGGTGAGTTTCTTGTAACTAGTATATAGTTGGTTCATTTTTTAAAAAAAATCCATTCTGGCAATCTGTGTATTTTAATTGGAGTATTTAATCCATTTATATTCAAGGTTAATATTAATATGTGAGGGCTTTTTCCTCATGATGCTTTAACAGCTTTTGAGAAGGTACAATTCAACCCACAGCAGTTCCCATTGTCAGTTTCTCTATGTGAATGTGCTAAAAGAGTTTTCTGCAAGGAAATAATCATAATGGCTATATTAAATAGTAAAGATCTTTTGACACATTGGGTAGATCTTTCCCAATGGGAATTTAAGAAATCTACAAATGACTTAGTTACTATACCTGGCTATATACAGTATATCCAGCTCTACTTGGTTGGCTTGACCTGTTACTCCTGAACATTGATTAACAAATTCATTTATGCATTAATCTATTTAATTTCTCATTGTGCCCTCATCACTTATTGAATGCTTATTATGTTTCATGCTCTATAACAGCTTCTGGAAATATAAGTTGAAATAAACACAATCCCTGTTTTCCTATTTATAAGATAAGAAACATGCTCTCCTGATGTACATATATATCAAAGAGATCACATTCACCTGGTTCTACACCAGCAGTTTCCTAAATCAGATTTTAGCTAACAACCAGTTCTACCCAGTGAGTCAGACAGAGGCTATGAGAGATAAAAGGGACCAAAGAAATCACATGATCTAGGCTGCTGGATTTATAGAAAGAGAAAGTGTGGCACAGAGAAGTCCACTAAAAAAAGTCACAAAAAAAGAAAAAGAGAGCTTAAGTACAATTAGAATAATTAATCTGTATTTCTATATTCTCATATTTTAGGATAAAGAAGAAAATGGAAGATAAAACTGTACCTGACGTTAAGGAATGACTGTGAAGTTTGTTAAGAGTAGTAATCACATTCTGATAATATAGTGAATTGTCCTTAGTTTTTGGAGATGCATACATACTAAAGTATTTAAGTAAAATGTAATGATATCTATAATTTACTTTAAAATATTTCCATCTAAAATAGATAAAAAATTTAAAAGTGATAGTCATATGGAGTTCTCTATTTTTCAGTATGTTTAAAAATTTTCAAAATAAAAAACTGAAAAAATCACATTGTTCTGCAGGGAAAATTATATATGTAACAGCTTCTTACTTGCCTTGGAATCTTACGAGCACTGGAAAAGAAGCCTCACAAAATATTTTAAATATCGAAACCATGGATTCTAAATCATAATTATTATGCTGTTTTCTTCAATATTTTCCATCCATCACTACCCTCCAATAATAATAAGACTCTAGTAGCCCATATTCAGATAGCTATCATTTACATAGGATTTCAAAACAAGAATTTTTTAATATGGCTCTAATCTGGTTTGGCCCATGTTAAGAATTTATTTGGACAATAGGAACACTATTCACCTAAAAAATGCATTTGATTAAACAATTTTAAAATACTTTAATAAACAAATTGATGTTTAGTAAAATAGCAGTATTAACACATTACACAAAGTTAGATGGAAATAAAATTTAGCATAGAGTTTATTTTTCTTTGAAAAATAATACTGAGAGAACCTTAAAACAGTTTATAGAACTGATCCACAAAATCTAGATATATAGCAAATTATCAAAGTTCAAAAACAATGTATTCATATGATAGTTATACTGAGACAAAGAAAAATTAAGTGAAAGTATATAATTTTAAAATAATCCTATTAATGTAAAACTCATAAAATATTAATTTTAAAAGTCCAAATAATTAAAATCACAGGAACTATTTCCAAAGTCTCTTTGCTTATCTGAAAATATACAGCAGAACCTCACAAGGAAGGAAAGAATAACATGCATGTTAATCTATACTATAATGCTATCCACATAAACCCTATCCACTTTAAAGGAGTCTCACCAGCTATACCACCTAGTAATATTATAGTATCATTAAGCTAAAATATATAACACTATTCTGGAGATAATGAAATACAGATATTACAGTAAGTAAATTTTATATTGTTTATATATAGAAGTGATTAAAACTAAATTTTATAGATGGTGAACACAAGAAACACTACTTCTAAATAGTGACCATATTATGTGCACATTCCATGCAAAATTCTTACAAACACATTCACACTCCATTTTACAAGCAACCTGGATTGATAAATGGATTGTGTTAGAATTCCCTTCAGCAAACAGTAAACAAGCGGATTTAATGAGGCTTATGACCCTGCCCTATGAATATCCTAGGAACTTTGAAAGTAAGTATTTTGCCACCAGATACAGGTCAGGTATTACAACTCCTTCTTCCAGATCACTAAATTTTTTTCTACTTTTCAACTTCCTTAACTGTACAACAATAGGCAAGACACTTTGGAAACACTATAAGAAACATTACCTTCTGCAATGAGCTTTAAGTATTTGGAGAACACATTTTCATAAAATCATAGAATTTTAGAGCTAGAAGGAACCTTTGAGATCACTTAGTTGAAATCTCATATTTTATACACTAGAAAGCCAAAACCTATACAGGTTAAGTGATTTGCAATTCTGCTTAATGGCAGTGCTGAAACTAGAACCTAGTCTCTTGACTCTTAGTCCACCACAATCGCCAGGAATCAAGAAGGCACTGTGACAAGTGTTTTTAAAGAACACAGGTATACTAACATTCACATGTTGACATGAAGAATTATTCTCTACCTGTGAGGGCCATCCTCTTTGACCTAGTAGGCAGCTTGAGAACAGAAACACATGCAGCATAATGGGGCAAGGAGCTCTACAATCAAGGTATTCCTGGCACTGAGATGACAGATATTGCATCAAGACTGGCCTCATGCCTTAAGCAGTCAATAAAGTATTTCTTAAAGGGTTATAGGAAAGGAATACAAATACACATGCTGCGAGGAATATAAAAGAAGTATATCTCAGGAGTTCATTCTAGTTCAGAATGTAAGACAACACGAAGGCAAGTGAGACCTGAGCACTCACAGGCTTAAAATATACATTAGGAGCTATAGGAAATTAGAAAAAGGAAAAGCTCAGTATAGACTAGAATCATTAAGAAAGGCTTCATATAAACTGTTGCATGAAAAGAATATGTCTCTGATAAACAAAGAGGTGCCTTTCCAGATGTGAGCATCTGCACCACTGAAATAAAAGTTGTAATCTCAAACTGCATCAACTTCCTCCAAGTGACACTGGGAGATATAGGCAAGTGGGCATTACTCGAAACACCACTATCATTTTTGATAATTCCATTATAAGTAAGGAAACCAGAAGGATACATTTGTTTTCCAAATACTAGATCAGCCCTTATAAGGCCACTGTTCTAGTTATCGATTGTGCAACACCATATCATATTCCAAAATCAGCAAGGTTTCAAAGAGAGCTTAAAAATTTAGGTTAGGTGGTCCAAGAGGATAATATCTACCTACCTATCAATGAAGCACAAATTTGTAATTATAAACATAATATTATTAAAGCATACAACATAATGCCTAACACAATAAATGACCAAAAAGTTAGTTAAAATGGATTTTTATTGTCTTTTCTTAAGACGTATCACTTCTGTAAGTACATGTTTCTTAATATAGTCATGCATTGCTTAATGACAGGGATATGTTCTAAGAAATGTATTGTTAGGTAATTTCATCATTGTATGAACATCCTAGAGTGTACTTACACAACCCCTGATAGTACAGCCTTCTACACACCTAGGCTATATGGTACAACTTATAGCTCCTAGGCTACAAACCTATACAGCATGTTACTATAGTAAATACTGCAGACAACTGTAACACAATAGCATTTGTGTATCTAAATATATCTAAACATAAAAAGGTATATTAAAAGTACCATATAAAAGATTTGAAAATGGTATAGCTGTATAGGGCATTTACCACGAATGGAACTTACAAGACTGGAAGTTACTCTAGATGAGTCAGTGAGTGAGTGGTGAGTGAATGTGAAGGCCTAGGACATTACTGTATGCTACTGTAGACTTATAAAACACTGTACACGTAGGCTACATTAAATGTGTTTACAGTTTTTTTCTTTCTGCAATAATAAATTAACCTTAGCTTACCATACCATACTTTATAAACTATTTATTTTTTTAAAACTTTTTGACTCTTTTGTCATAACACTTAGCTTTAAACAAACATTGTATAGCTATACAAAAATACTTTATATCCTTATTCTGTAGGCTTTTTCTATATTTATTTTCTTTTTTATTTTTTTAAATCTTTTTGTTAAAAAATAAGACACAATCACACACCCATTAGCCTAGACCTACACATGGTGAAGATCATGAATATCACTGTCTGCCACATCTCATCCCCCTGGAAGGTCTTCAGGGGCAATAACATGCATGGAGCTGTCCTCTCCGATGATAACAAACAATCTTCTGGAATACCTTCTGAAGGGCCTGTGTGAGGCTGTTTTACAGTTAACTTTTTTTTTATATAAGTAGAAGGAATATACTCTAAAATAATAATAGTATAATAAATAAACATATAAACTAGTAACATAGTTGTTTATTATCATTATCAAGTACTATATAGTGTACATAATTGTTACGTGCTATACTTTCATACAAAGAGCAGCACAGGTTTGTTTATACCAGCATTACTGCAAACACATGAGTAATGTGTTGCCCTATGGCATTACTATGGCTGTGATATTACTAGGCAATAGAAACTTTCCAGCTCCAATATAATCTTACAGGACCACTGTTGTATATGTGGTCCGTTGCTGACTAAAACATCATAATATGGTACATGACTGTATAATTTAATTTTAAATTTTAATTTTTAATTTACATTTTTAACCAAACAGTACAGGGGACAAACTACATTTCCTCTGCTAAATATGATACAACTACTGTTGTTGTAGCAAGTACTACAATAAAAATTACAAACTTTCATAAATAGTCCCTCTCCCCCTAAACAACTTGAAAGATTTAAAAAAACACATAAAACAAGATGAAAACACAACAAATATAGTGACAAATGTATACCAAATAACAGCAATAATTTTTATTTAAAAAAAAACTATAGGAGAACAAGGAGACAGAGAGAAACACTAATAAGAGTAGACGTTTAAACACCACTCTTAGTACAAAACAGCTTAGGTGGACAAAAAGTAAATAAAGATATAGATGACATAAACAATACAGTGAATAAGGTAGATCTTTTGGATTTTTGCTGCATTTTACACTCTGAAAATAAGACTACCTTTTTCTCAAGCAAACATGGAAGACTGACAAAAACTGATCAGCTTTTAAGTCACAATTAAAGCATCAGTGCATTCCAAAGAGTAAACTTATTATAAACAATATCATAATAATATTGTGATAAGTCTAGGCATTAATAAAAACAATATTTAAAGGCCCTTCCACATAAAAATTTAAGAATTTCCTACTGAACTACTTTTTTGGTGAAAGAAAAATACAAACTTTCCAAAGAATAAAGAGAACAAAAACATTACATATCAAAATCAATTAGATATAATATAAAACAATAAGGGAGGAAAATTCATAGCCTTAAACTCTTATGGAGGGACATCCAATTGGAGAACTAGAAAAAGAAGAGAAAGGTAAAACTAAAAGAGTATATATGAAGACAAGATAAAGAAAAAGTCAGAAATTAATAATAAGAAAAAAGAAAAAATCTCATTAATGAGTCAAAATTGAACTTTGTTGAAAAATTAACAAAAGGGACTACTACTGGCCACCTTCATAAGGATAGAAAAAGGGAGAAAGCAAAATAAAGTTTAAAATAACTAGAGAGAAACAATCACTGAAGTACGAAAAATTTAAGTCATAAAAAACTACAATGCAGACCACCGCACAAATAAAATTGAAAAAACAGATAACATGAATAACAACTAAAACAGACACTCAAATAGAGATAAAGAATCGAACCAATTTCTGAAAAAAGTAGAGAATCACAAAGAACTACCACGCAGAAAAGCAAAAGAATCAAATAGTTTCACATTCAAAGACCAGATGGTTCCAATGTAACAGAAATAGTTCTAAAACACAGAAAATAAAACCTCCAAATTCTTTTTATGAACCAAATATATTGGCACCAAAATATGATAAAAACAGAACAAAATTAGAAAACTATGGATCAATATCACTTACGAATATCAATATGAAATCACATCATAAAATATTAATGAACTTCAACATTACACTAATATTATGCCATAACACATCAAGATTTATTCCTTAAAAGGTTGGTTCAATATTAGAAGCTCAGCAATATATTATACCATATTAAAATATTTGAGACAAATATGATTACTTCTATAGATGTTAAACAAGACTCTGAAAAAATTCAATACCCATTCCATAAAAATAAAACACATTCAAGAACATAAGCGCTGACAGATATTTTCTTGACTTTATAAACAGATACACACACACTCATATTCACACATATATTCACAAACATATACACAAACCTTAGTCCTAAAGCCATCATCACATTTAATGGGGTAATACTTCAGGCATTTCCAATAAGATTAAGAAGAGTAAAAGATGATTACATTTCTTACTATTTAATACTGTATTGAATGTATTAGACAATGCAATTAGACAAGACAAATTAAATACAAGAACTGTAAAAGAAGAAAAACTACTGTATCTACTTGCATATGACAGTTTTCTAAGAAAACTCTAAAGAACCATTACTAAAACCACTCTGAACCACAAATAATTCCGTAAATTAACAGGATATAAAATTAATGCATGGAAATAAAAATTCTTCATATATATAAACAAAAATAATAAGAAATAATAGAATAAATCCACTGACAATATCAACAAAAAGGTATAATATTTTGAAACAAACATAATAAGAAATATGCAAAACTAGTAAGAGGAAAGCTTTAAAATAATCCTAATGACCTAATGCAAAATTGATGAAAAACAGAAACATTCCTTGTTCATATATGAACATCTATACATCATACAGATGTGAGGTCTCCCCCAAATCAATTTTAAAACTTAACATAATTTCAATGAAAATGCCAACAAGTATTTTTTTTTTTTTTTTTTTGAGACGGAGTCTCGCTCTGTCACCCAGGCTGGAGTGCAGTGGCGCAATCTTGGCTCACTGCAAGCTCCGCCTCCCGGGTTCACGCCATTCTCCTGCCTCAGCCTCCCGAGTGGCTGGGACTACAGGCACCTGCCACCACGCCCGGATAATTTTTGTATTTTTAGTAGAGGTGGGGTTTCACCATGTTAGCCAGGATGGTCTCTATCTCCTGACCTCGTGATCCACCTGCCTCAGCCTCCCAAAGTGCTGAGATTACAGGCGTGAGCCACCGCGCCCAGCACAAGTATTCCTTTTAAATGAAACTAAACAAAATAATACAGAAAATCCAGTATAAATAGCTAAGATAACACTGAAAACGGAGAACTACAGGGAACTACTAGTCCAATCCAATGTTAAATTACATTATAAAGCTTCAGAAATTAATGCAAAAGTATTTATGGCTAGTATTGTTATATAAATAGACAAATCAGTGTGATTCAACAGAAAGTACAGAAATAAAACCAAGTACATGAGGAAACTGAGTATATGACAAAAGTAACAACTAATATTACTGAAGCAAAGATATTTTAAAATAAATAGTGTTGGAACAACTGGAAAACCACTTATAATAAACTGTAATGAATAAGAGAGCTTTAAGTTTAAAAAATAAAGGGTACTCAATTAGGAAAAGAGGAAGTCAAATTGTCCCTGTTTGCAGATGACATGATTATTTAGAAAACCCCATCGTCTCAGCCCAAAATCTCCTTAAGCTGATAAACAACTTCAGCAAAGTCTCAGGATACAAAATCAATGTGCAAAAATCACAAGCATTCTTATACACCAACAGCAAACAGAGAACCAAATCATGAGTGAACTCCCATTCACAACTGCTTCAAAGAGAATAAAATACCTAGGAATCCAACTTACAAGGGATGTGAAGGACCTCTTCAAGGAGAACTACAAACCACTGCTCAATGGAATAAAAGAGGACACAAACAAATGGAAGAACATTCCATGCTCATGGATAGGAAGAATCAATATCATCAGAATGGCCATACTGCCCAAGGTAATTTATAGATTCAATGCCATCCCCATCAAGCTACCAATGACTTTCTTCACAGAATTGGAAAAAACTACTCTAAAGTTCATATGGAACCAAAAAAGGGCCTGCATTGCCAAGACAATCCTAAGACAAAAGAACAAAGCTGGAGGCATCAGGCTACCTGACTTCAAACTATACTACAAGGCTACAGTAACCAAAACAGCATGGTACTGGTACCAAAACAGAGATATAGACCAATGGAACAGAACAGAGCCCTCAGAAATAATATCACACATCTACAACCATCTGATCTTTGAGAAACCTGACAAAAACAAGAAATGGGGAAAGGATTCCCTATTTAATAAATGGTGCTGGGAAAACTGGCTAGCCATATGTAGGAAGCTGAAACTGGATCCCTTCCTTACACTTTATACAAAAATTAATTCAAGATGGATTAAAGACTTAAATGTTAGACCTAAAACCATAAAAACCCTAGAAGAAAACCTAGGCAATACCATTCAGGACACAGGCATGGGCAAGGACTTCATGACTAAAACACCAAAAGCAATGGCAACAAAAGCCAAAATTGACAAATGGGATCTAATTAAACTAAAGAGCTTCTGCACAGCAAAAGAAACTACCATCAGAGTGAACAGGCAACCTACAAAATGGGAGAACATTTCCGCAACCTACTCATCTGACAAAGGACTAATATCCAGAATCTACAAAGAACTCAAACAAATTTACAAGAAAAAAACAAACAACCCCATCAAAAAGTGGGCAAAGGATATGAACAGACACTTCTCAAAAGAAGACATTTATGCAGCCAAAAAACACATGAAAAAATGCTCATCATCACTGGCCATCAGAGAAATGCAAATCAAAACCACAATGAGATACCATCTCACACCAGTTAGAATGGCAATCATTAAAAAGTCAGGAAACAACAGGCGCTGGAGAGGATGTGGAGAAATAGGAACACTTTTACACTGTTGGTGGGACTGTAAACTAGTTCAACCATTGTGGAAGTCGGTGTGGCGATTCCTCAGGGATCTAGAACTAGAAACACCATTTGACCCAGCCATCCCATTACTGGGTATATACTCAAAGGATTATAAATCATGCTGCTATAAAGACACATGCACATGTATGTTTATTGCAGCACTATTCACAATAGCAAAGACTTGTAACCAACCCAAATGTGCATCAATGATAGACTGGATTAAGAAAATGTGGCACATATATACCATGGAATACTATGCAGCCATAAAAAAGGATGAGTTCATGTCCTTTGTAGGGACATGGATGAAGCTGGAAACCATCATTCTCAGGAAACTATCGCAAGAACAAAAAACCAAACACCGCATGTTCTTACTCATAGGTGGGAATTGAACAATGAGAACACTTGGACATAGGAAGGGGAACAACACACACCGGGGCCTGTCATGGGGTCGGGGGAAGAGGGAGGGATAGCATTAGGAGATATACCTAATATAAATGACAAGTTCATGGGCGCAGCACACCAACATGGCACATGTATACATATATAACAAACCTGCACTTTGTGCACATGTACCCTAGAACTTAAAGTATGGAAAAAAAAATGAAACCAGGTGGAGCAAATGAAATATCACACATTGCTGATGGGAATGTTTAATGGTACAGTCACTCCAGAAAACAACTTGGCAGTTTCCATGTGAAACATACACTTTCATATGACCCAGAAATTCCACTCCTAGTTATTTACTCAAAAGAAAGTGAAACATATGTCTCCACAAAAGGCTGTATGTGAATGCTTAGCTTATAGCAACTTTATTTATAACTGTCAAAAACTGAAAACAACCCAGATAGCCATCAACAGGTGAACAGAAATTGTAGCAGTTTTCAATAGAATACTACTCAGCAATAAAAAGGAATGAACTACTAATGACCTACAAAGATAAATCTCAAAAGCATTATGTTAAGTGAAGGAAAACAGACCCAAAACAGTACATACCTTACAATTCCACTTATATACCATTCCTGAAAATGTAAAAATATAGGGACAGAAATCATCTCCTGGGGCTGGGAGCAATGCCAGGAGAAGGGGACTGACTCTAAACAGGAATGAGAGAACTTTTGGGAATGAAAGAAATGTTCTACATCTTGGTGGCAGTAGTGGTTACATGATACATACATCTGTCAAAAGATATCAAACTGTACATTTAAAAGCGTGACATTTACTGTTTGTAAATTATATCTCAAAAAACCTAATCTTTGAAAAGTATGCAGATATTGCCAAATTCCCTTCCACTAACTTTCTTATACCATTTAATTTACATTCCCAAAGGGCATTCTAAAAGTGCTGGTACCTTTATCAGCCTCAATATTATCAGACTATTATTTTAGACCTCTCCAATTTGATAAGTCCTTTAAAAAGGGTGCCTCGCTGTTTTGGTCTCCTTATCTTCTCATTTTTCACAAAGGTAGCCTTTTTTCCTGTTTCTAGGACAGTCATATTCCTTCTCTGTTCTGTTTATTCATTCTTTTCGATCATCGCTTTAACAAGGTATTTAGTGTTTTTCTTAATTTTTTTTTTAGTACCGGCTAGATATTCTCAAATATTTGTTATCTATCTATTTCCCAGTTTCTCATTCACCTTTCATTTTGAAAAAATTTTTATTAAGAAATTTAACCAATGCAGAGATCAAATATTCAATTACATTTTTTCTAATTTTTTATAGACTCAATCATTTAACTCTTTAAACGTGATAATACAGTAACAACTAGGTATATTGTTATTTAAGTTTAAATTAAGTTAAATTAAAAATTCAGTTTGTCAATATTAATATTTTAATATTAAAAATATAATCTACATTTTTTAAACAGACTATATTTTTTAGAGAAGTTTTAGGTTTGATTTAGGTAAATTTAGAGCAATGTAGGTAAAACTGAGTGGAAAATACAGTGAGTTCCCATATACCTCAAGCCCACACAAAGTCTCTCCGCTATCAACATCCCTCACTAGAGTAGCACATTTTTTATAGTGAATGAACCAAGAATGACAATCCTTATCATCCAAAAGCCACAGTTTACATTATGTTCACTCTTGGTCTTGTCCATTCTATGGATCTTAACAACCAAATGATGACATGTATTCACCATTATGGTATCATGCAGAATAGTTTCACTGACCTAAAAATCCACTGTGCTTCACTCATTCATCCTTCCTCTCCCTTCTAACCTATGGAGATAGTAAAAAATTGATCTTTTTACTGTCTCTATAGTTTTGCCTTTTCCAGAATGTCATATAGTTGAAATTGTATAGTAACTAGCCTTTTCAGATTGGCTTCTTTTACATAGTAAAATACATTTAGGTTTCTTCCATGTTTTTTCATGGCTGAAAAGTTCATTTCTATTTAGCAATGAATAATATTCCATTATCTGGATGTATCAGTTTATCCATTCACCTACTCAAAGACATCTTGGTTACTTCAATGTTTTGACGAGTATGAATAAACCGACTACAAGCATTCACGTGCAGGTTTTTGTGTGGATGTAAGTTTTCAACTCATTTGGGTAAATACTAATGAGCACAACTGCTGCTTGGTATGTTAAGAGTGTCTAGCTTTCTAAGTAACTGCCCAACTGTCTTCCAAAGTGGCTGTATCATTTTGCATTTCCATTAGCAACAAATTTCCATGAGCAACAAATGAGAGTTCCTGTTACTCCAAATACTCATCAGCAGTTGGTACTGTACTGACCACGTTTTAAGTACTTAGCCACATACTGCTAATGGCTACCATATTGGACAGTCAAACAGAATATTTTCATCATTACACAAAATTTTAATGGAAAAGCTTGCTTAAAACTTTTTTTTTTTTTTTTTTTTTGAGATGGAGTTTCTCTCTTGTTGCCCAGGCTGGATGGAGTGCAATGGCACCATCTCAGCTCACTGCAACATCCGCCTCCTGGGTTCAAGCAATTCTCCTGCCTCAGCCTCCTGAGTAGCTGGGATTACAGGCACCCACCACCACACCCAGCTAATTTTTGTATTTTTAGTAGAGACAGGGTTTCACCATGTTGGCCAGGCTGGTCTCAAACTCCTGTCCTCAGGTGATCCACTCACCTCGGCCTCTCAAAGTGCTGGGATTACAGGCATGAGCCACCGCGCCCGGCCTCTCTGCTTAAAACTTAATTGGTTATACAGTAGGAAATGATGAACTAATATGACAGTGTTTTAACCTCTACATAAATCCATCTCTACTCCCACTGGATTTTGATGGTTCTTTGCTTATCTATATTTGCTCAGAAATTCAAATTCCTGCTCAGCCACTTCTTAACTGTGTGCCCATTAACATATTATTTAACCCCTCTGACTCTCAGTTTCTCATCCTAATTACTCATTAGTTTGGTACAAAGATTAAATTAGATAAGCAGGTAAGATAAATTACAACATTCATCATGTTACGCCCTCATTTGTAAACTCTTCTGGGTTAGAAGTTTGTTTTCTGAATGTTTCAGTTTCATACATTAAAGACCTTTATTAAAAGCAAAAGTATGTATTTACCTGGTCTGGATTTTTGTAACCCAAAAGTAGATTTGCTGCTTTTATATCACCATGAACATATTCATTTTCATGTATATATTCCAGTACATCCAACTGTGAAAATAAATAGATAAAATAAGGTTTACTGCTATTTAGAACTCATGATCAATTTCAACATTTTGAATATAGAATAACATGGGTTTTTTCATATTAACATTGACAAAGCGATGTATTTCACAATTACTGGTTAATTATTCTAAAATATCACATCTTCTGGTTGCTCATCCTAGAAAAAAGTAAAATGATCCTCAAAAATCAAGTATTTTAGTTGAAGTTCCAAAGGAAGAAAATCAAGATTCAAAAATGCTTATGCCTAATTCCTGATAGCCCAGTAGCCAAACCGCACTGCACAAAGAGGAAAAACATAGCATAAAATCAGAGATCTATGGTGAAATAATCTTGAAGCCCACTCAGCAATTCCTCACCTAAGCAATAATTATAAATCAAGCCTTGAGAATCTCAGAACAAAATGCCATGTCCATGAGCAAAGGGAAAGGTATTCTTCCTCTGTATGGTAATAGAAAACTCCTTAGCTTCATCTCTAAAGCCCTTCAGCCTTGCATGTTACATACACTTAGTACTCAATAAACATTTGCTGGCTTCGAGGATGGATAAATGAGAAAATTAATGCATTCTATTTGCTGCATTCCAATCTGGCATAAGCAGCTTCATGCTACTCAAAAGTGAAAAAATGAGACTTAAACAAACCAAATACAAACATATAAGACAAATATGTAGTATAAACAAATGTGTGCCTGAGTGCTATTAAGAGTTCGTTGCTTCTGCTTTGGCAAAGTATATTTTATTCATTGTCACAACTAATTATTGCCACCATCCCAAACTCATAATAAAAACTTCATAGCACCCCCCTACCATCACATGTTTAAAATGTCTGACAATATATTTTGCCATAATTTGCATTGTTATAACTGACAAAAGAAAGGTTATTCTTACAGCAATGAAAGCTTGTTCTGGTATGTAAAACAAAGCTCTAAGGAAAAAGAAGATCAGACTGGAGAACCAAAGCCTAATTGAGTTTGCAGTGCCATACACAGCACATTCTGTCACTTACAGAGCCCATTGTTATCAATTTCACCAAAATAGCCTCTACTCCTAATAACTGATGTCTCTAGGGCAATAATCCTTCATTCTCTAATAATTCCACAAAGGGAAAAGATTTCTATATTGCAAGAAGTAAACAATTTGGAAATGGAGCATGCGAAATAAGTAATTCTTACCATTCGGATACCTAATTGCAGGACAGTTGACTTTTTAAAGGTACCATTCTGGCCTGAGATCTTCTGTAAATCTATTCCTAGTCTTTCCATTACCATAAATCTGTAACTGTAAGAAAAAAGCATCAAAAAGAGATCATCCTGAGAAAGTAATGCTTGAAACTGTCTATTTAATTTGAAACAAGAAAAATTACGCTCAACCTAACAACTAAGTATAATGCAATCTAAACCATTAGAGAATGAATGCACGTTCATAATTCTGCTATTCTTTTGCAGAAACTGCTCAATATTTACTTTGCAGCTGATTTTCTATAAGAGAATGCTGTACTGAACCATTCACACTGTTTTACATAATGAAAAAATCTTTCTAAATTAGATAGTACTGAATGCAATTCATTTTGACTCCATGACTTTCTTGCCATATGGCCTTGAACAAATTATTGTACACACTTGATTTTTTTTTTGAGACAGAGTCCCGCTCTGTCACCAGGCTGGAGTGCAGTGGTGCAATCTCAGCTCACTGCAACCTCCACCTCCCAGGTTCAAGCGATTCTCCTGCCTCAGCCTCCCAAGTAGCTGGGACTGCAGGCATGCACCACCACACCCAGCTAATTTTTGTATTTTTAGTAGAGACGGGGTTTCACCATGTTGGCCAGGATGGTCTCGACCTCTTGACCTCATGATCCGCCTGCCTTAGCCTCTCAAAGTGCTGGGATTACAGGCATGAGCCACCGTGCCCAGCCACATGAATTTTATATTTGTTTGTTTCTTGATAAGATCATATATACCGTCTCTATACATTTATAAACATGTCTTTAAGTGCACTTCTTCCTTTTCTGTTCTGTTTGGCACCTTCCATACCTTCTTTCCTTCCCTTCATTTATATATCCACATCAGCCCCTATTCTATATCTATGCATGCATACACAAACACACACACTTAGGAATTTGTTTTACAAAAATGTGATCATATTATAAGTATTTTCTCCATCTTACTTTTTTCAATAGTATCTCATCAAAATCCTTCTAAGGCAACTAGTATAGCTCTAATGGACTTCTTTAATGGGCTACATATGACATGATATGGATGTATCATGATTCAATCAGCCATTCAGTCCCCCAGTGGCAGTCCTTTACTTCAAGATTACTGTTTGCTCATTTTTTTAAATTTAAAGCATTTAGAGACCATTTCAACAAAGTACTGACATCTGAGCTTATTCTCTCATCTATGGAATAAAAATAATATCACCTATTTTAACAGGCTATTCAAAGGACAAAATAAGATAAAGTATATAAAAGTCTCTGGCACAAAAGGGTAAATATAAAATGACACACTTTTTTTCTTTTTTCAAACACTATTAATAAATTATATATAGGACTAGCCATATTTGGTGGTTTTAAAGATATTTCTATAACTTATTTGTTGTGCTTCTCCTCAAGAGATAGAACTGAATTCTCCTCTCTCAGGACCAATGGATCTATCTAGTGACTAGCTTCTAGCAAAGAGAATAAAGCAGAAGCGATAATATCCCTTTTAAGATTAGATTACAAAAAACGATGACTTCCTTCTTGAATGCACTTGTGTGCATGCTCTCCCCGTCCCCCAATTAATTGCTCTAGAGAAAGCCAGCTATTTTTCATAACACTCAGGTAGCTTATGCAAAGACCCACATGATCAGGAAGTAAGAAGGCCTGCCAACAATCACATAAGTAAATTAGAAGTAGATCTTCTTAGGCCTACCAGTAGCCACATGAGGAACCCTGAAAACAAATACTTCCCCAGATGAGCCTTGAAATGAATGTAACCCAGCAGACAGCTGACTACATATCCTTATTAGAGATCCTGATCTAGAATCATACAGATAAGCCACTTGCAGTCTCCTCACTCACAGAAACTAAGACAATACAAGTTTGTGGTTATATGCCAATATGTTTTGGTAATTTGTTACATGGCAATAGTTAACTCATAGACCACATAAGGAATAGTTATAAAGAAATATTTGATTATAATAATTCCATTTTACCTTCTTCCCTTGAATTCAGTCAGACCAGATCCATAAAACAGAGGAATTCCTAAATAATCAAGTTGTTTGCGTTCTATCCACTTTTTGACTACAAAGACAAATTTATTTTTAAAAAGATTCATGTTATTTGAAAAGATACTTGTCACCTTTCTACAGACAAATTTATTTAGCTAACCAAAAAAGTAATTAGATCTTCCTAGAAGATAATTTTTTTTCAATCAAACATCTCTATCTAATGGCCTCAAACTGTTACCACTATAATTAACAAAAAATTAGAAATTTTTAAATTAAATCAATAAAAACAAGTCATAGGCTTTGTATATTGATACCATATATATTAATGTTTCAATCTATAAAAAGAATTCATTATCTTATATACTAGCTAAATTTCTAAATATAACATATGTTAACCACCAAAAGATCAGTAGAGAGATGGCTTTTTCTTCCCTATTACTTCAAGATTTAAAACCATAATGGACCAAAAAAAAAAAAAAAAGAAAAAAAAAGCAGAAATTGGGCAGAAAAACCATCTTACTTTGAAATTACTTTATACAAAAACTGGTTTTGATTAGTTTACAAAAAATCAAATCCACTTAAATAAAGTTAACTTTCATCATTTTTTTCATGACTCTAGCCTATGTTTTTTATGTTTAAGACAGCTCTACTGATAAACAATCAAGTTTAATGGATTCTATTTGTCACTGTGACATAGTTTAAGCAATTAGTAAAGATTACAGTCTTAATGTTTAGAAGACTTTATTAAGAAAAACTAAGTTAAATATTGAGGTCAGACCCATCACTCTTATTCTTAAACATGATGTAAAGGACCTTGACTATACAGTCATTACTCCTGTCTACTTCTTTAATGTTTTTCTTAGCCCATCTATATCACATTTATAAAATGCTGTTATTTTTCCTCTCTGCTTATATTCATTTCCCATTCAAGTCTTCTAACTGGTCATTCTTACACTTGGTATCCAGCTCCAATTAATTTTCCAGCATTCAAGTTTCTAACATTTTCTTAAACATCTTAAAGTTTAATCATTTTCACATTTCCACACACCTTGCCCCAATCCATTCTACAATCGTTCTTTTTTTATACATATATCTACTTCCCATTTTAATGTTTTTTCCTTATAGCCGTCCTATCCAAATGGTTTACTGTAAAAGAAATAATTTCATTCTACTATCTTTTACACTTAGGGAACTCTTGGTAGCTTAGATTAACAACCTAACATTTTATGTAAAGTAGTAGAAACAACTTTGACTTAAAATATATAACCCATTATGTATGTCATGTCAAGATTTGTATACCATCTGTCTTGCTTTTATATGTTGTAACAGTTAACTGTATCACTTTACAATAAAATTTCTATTGAAAAGAATTTTCCAGAAGGCCAGAAAAAGACCAAAATATCAACACTCACTTTAGCAAGCACATATATGGAAGTAGCTTGCTTTGCTAATTTTACTTACTACAGTCTTTTTTTGCAACTCTCTGATAAAATTTAAGTTCTGAAAATAACGGGCCATTTTCTTGATATTCCTATAAAAAAAAGAATAATTAATTTTACTAGAAAAAAATAATCCCAAAGATGGAATTGTTATTTCAACTGTGAAAATATGAACATATATATGTAGTATATAATAGTACTTGAATCACTTTTTATAAAACATAGGCACCAGATTTCCACTAAAAATCTCAGAAAACACTAAATAAACTTGAAGAATCTAATTTTTAAACGACATATTGTACCACTATCCCTATACAGTCTTACACATAAAAGTAGTTTTCTTACAGAGAACACTTACTAGAAGCACTGAGAACTGTATACATAAACATATACAACACTCACTGTATACCAACATATACATCCAGGTGATACACAGCAAACTCTCCTTGTGGTCCACTCACACATGATACCTTTACTGAATGGTCTACTATATTTCATTCATTATACTAGGTACAGGGGACACCAAAAAGAAATAAAACCCTATGCTTGCCTTTAAGGACCTTACCATCTTGATTAGAGAGGTGGAGAGGGTGGGAGGGCATTTGGGAGGGAAAGAGAAAGAATAGCTAGATAGATAACACACCAGGGTAATAGCTGGCAATACAGAAAAACAAAGGTTCTCCAGTTTTAATGTTTTAACAACGTCAAAACAGATGATAACATTAGGTTTACTGATAAGGCAATAGTTACAAAAATTAACGTGAAAAACATTCTTAAAGCAGAAAAGGAAAAAGTCAAATATATGTGAAATACAAATCTATGAGCAACACTTACCACTTTTACTACATGTCTTGCATCTTTCTCTGGTTTATTTGTGGGGAAAGCTGCAGACAAAAAAAACACACAATGGAGAAAAATAGTTATTCCCAATTACTGAATACCTACCATATCCCAAACACTATGCTAAGCATTTTACATATGTAAGTTTATTATGTCATCCCAACAACCTTTTATGGTAGTAGGAATCAATCATCTCCATTTTATACAAGATGCTACTGAAGTTTGAGACGTTGAATAAATTGCTCACTAAGAGGTAATATATTAGAGACAGAAACTCAAATCTGCCTGACATCACAGCCCATACACTTGATCATAAACCATATTTAAATATTTAAATACAGAATCAATAGACAATATGAATCATATAGATCCAAAATGTGGGGGGAAATATTTTATAGATATATGGCATTAAAGCCAATATATAATACACAGTAAAATCCATTGATTCAATTGCACTAAATTAGAACTCATAATGATTCAGAAATAAAAATCGATTCAATTTAAGTAGAAAGTTCAAAACAATTTATACTTGACAAAATTCTAGAACAAGCAAGGTTAAAATGAGAATAAAGTCTTTAAAAATTTCTTCTGAACCTGCTAATCAATTACTTTTACATTAAAGAATACATATCTCATAAATTCATTTCAAGTTACCTTACTTCATTTAATTCTTATTTTCCATTTGTTGTTCAGATGGTATAACCCTACTTTTAAAAACTCCAGTGTTCACATTTTAAAACAAATTAATCTTTTCCTCTACATTACCTAAATTATTAAAAGATTGTTTTCAAATCTCAATAAATTTACATGTATATTTATTTGTACTGCAAAAGACTAAAACTTCGTCATTTGTTCATTTGTTCACTCTCCATCCATTCATTCCTTTACTCATTTAAATAGCTAAAATATTTATCAAGAAGCTAGAATATGCCAGGCACTGTGTTAAGTGTCTGGATGATATCTGAAGGAAAGGGAAAGGAAAAAAGGTGGAACTAGTATTGACTACAATTGAAAATCAGTAAGAAACAGACTTGAGAACAGGATCAAATTCTTGAGATACAATATATTTTTATATATTCAATATATTTATTAAAATGCTGTGTCCTATTATTAACATTGTCCTTTTCTTTCTTCTAATTCTGTCAGCTGTTCTCTTTTTTCCATTAATTCACATCTTAGATATAAATATGTCACAAATTTTATTAAAATATATAAATTGTACATTACAGTTGAGCCAATCATACACAATTTTTTAACCATTCTCCAGTTTTTAATTATCAGTAATGCTACTAACCAGTTGAAGAAAGTATTATTTCAGTTCTAGCTAATATTAAATTGTAAACCCAGACCTCTTTACAATAACAAAGAAACTAAACTTACTTATAGCACTTAAAATTATCTTTTCGCCTTCATTCATGTTAAGTTATTTCATTTTTACCCATGCAATAGTCCCAAGGAAACTGCAGGAAGAGTGGATTAGCCAGATCTACTTTCTTCCAAGAAGAAAACTTAAGAAAGTATACACAGGGGACAGAGTCCAGTCTTGGTATAGAAGAAGTGGTGAGAAAACCTTTGTTCCCACCCTATGACAAACTATTTTACTAGTATGGTTTCCAAGGCTAAGGAGAAATATCCTGTTCCAACCTTGGCCCACATAAAACAGTACCTACTTTAGGCACTTGTCTTTGCTACCTGAGGTAGATGTCAGTAGAAAGTTTTGCCTCTTGTCTAAAAGCAAGTGACCACAGCAGCAAATAAATCTTTAAGCCCAACAGAATGTAATGAGCTAAAAAGTACAGAAGAAAATTGGGAGTTTCAAAAAGATAAATAACAGATTATGTTACCACTGGAAAAAAAAGATGTCCAACCAGTCCAAGGCCTGACTCCTTGCCTATTTCAATCATTATATCCCTAATACTTTATAATCTGAATTTTCCTTTCACATTTTGAATGAACATAATCATGTGTTGACACATACCTGAAAATCTCTACGGTCATCACTTGATAGCTACACAATATTCTCTATAAGCTTCCAAGTCAGATTATATTGGAGGGTCTAAGTCTAAAATCAATAGACTAGAAAGCTCTTAGAGACGGGTGCTTCATATGAACAAAGAGATTGTTCTGGTTACCACGGGGGTCTTTTTATAGTAGAATAAATATTCAATTAATAAAACAATTATTTTCTACTGTAAGCCAAGCCCCATTATAGCTAGTGAAATTAAATGACGAAACACACACACACACACACACACACACACACACACACACACACGGACATGGTATATGCTTTTGCTGTCTGGTGGAGAAATCTAAGATGTCTTGGATTATAAGATGCATCATTAAATACATGTTCATCAAATACTCATACACAAATGTAAAACTGCAATCTAGAATACGGTAGACTGAAAACATTGACAAAAACAATACACAATGTAGAAAAAACATAATCAGAGTTAAAATGCTATAATGCCCTTGAGTTATCCAAAAAAGTAGGAAAGTGATTAACCTTACAGTTTGTTAAATAGAATGAATACCTTGAAATTTTAAGGGTAAATGCTAAAATAACAGAGGTTCATAACTCCAAAATCAGTAGAGGAGCAAAGAAGATAACAAAGAACATCTAAACAATTTAATAGATGGCAAGAAAAAAAGGTTTAAAGAAAAAGAAAACACAGTTAGAATAAATAAAAAAATACAAAATATGATAAAATTTAAAATACCAGAATAAATCAATTTTTAGCCATACATTTTTTCATATGTTAACATCTCTGAAATCTGAATGCATCTTAAAAGTGATGACATCTTACAGCTGCTGTTGAACACACACAGTTATGACACAGTTTTTATTGCTTATGCACACACACACTCAATCCTGTCTGTCCATTTGTCTTTACTTAACTGAGTTATGTACATAGCTGATAGTATTACATGTGGAGTTTAACTTAATGATTTGGCACTGAGAAGAAAAATTCTTGTGTATGTAGAAAAGGTAATTAACCAGACCAAAACAGAGCAGCAGGCCATGAATTTGATATCAATGAAAAAAATGTTTATTAAGATATGACTGCAACAATTGAGTATTCTGAGTTCCTTAAGTAAGACAAAGTTTAAGGGTATTCTGTCATAGTTTAATGGGCAGCATTAGGTATTAGATCTAAATCAGGTCCTACAGAAACACAAAAGAAATTACACAAGAGGAAGTAACAATTCTGAATTTTTTAAGCATCTAATATGGGCTGCACATATGTACATAATATCTTAGATTTGATTACATATGTCAGTAATTATAATAAATTTAATAAACTTAAATACACTAAGTTCACCAGCTGAAGAAATAAACTGTCAGACTGCTAAAAATATAAATGTATTTATAAGAGACAAACCTAGAATCTAGTGATGCAGAGGAACAAAGTAAAAATATAGAAAATAAATTAATAAGTACAAACTAACTTTAAAAGACTAGAACAAATATTTTCAAAACCAAATAAATCTCAGGAAAAAAGAATGATTAGATATGAACTTAGTCTAACCTAATCACAAAAGGAATGGTGCAACAGAAAGATAATAATTATGAACTTGAAATCATCTAAAAATGTAATTCAAAATACATGTCAAAAACTAGCAGAATAACAGGAAAAAAAATTAACAACATTGCAACAAAAATAGTGAAAGATTTTAATACAGTCCCATAATGTATAGGCAAGCAGACAATAAATACATTGAAACAATGCAATTAAGTTTTTTCTCTACATGCCAGATTTTTAAAAACACTAATAATTAAAAACATTCTTTTCAAACCCATCTAAAATATTTTTTTAAACTGTCCATATTTTCACCCAGAAAACAAGTCTCAACAAATACCAAGGCATATTATTAAAGCTACGTTCTCTGGGGAAAAAGGAAATCACAATGGAAATCAGAAAATAGATAGGACTGAATACTAAAAATATCATATAAAAACTAGTTAGAATGCAGTTAAAATGTGTTTTTATTACTTGTCTTCCTCTGCTAGAATGTAAACTCCACAAATAAAGAAATATTTTTGCTTTATTCAGATGTGTTCCAAGCACCTAAAATAGAGCCTCAGGCATGTATTAAATATTTGGTGAATAAATTAACAAATAAAAAAGTTACCTGGAGAAAAATTTATAGCACTAAATATTTTGATTTTAAGAAAACTAAAAAATTAGTGAGCTAAGTGCTCCCCTTAATAACTTAGAAAAATGATGACATAAATAGAAATTAATAAGAAACTGAAAAGGCCTACAGGAATAATCTCTCAGTAGAAATGAGGACACCTAGCAACCATATTATGGCTTCTAAATATCATTTTCAATGAAATGAATCAGGGCTCCTTGGAGAAATGGCTGATTCCAGAGTTGAGACAGAGAAAATAAAACTAAGCAAATTAAGCAATAAAATTTATAATATTAAGTTGGTGCAAAAGTAATCACGGTTTTGCCATTGAAAGTAATCATGACTGCTTTTGTGCCATCCTAATACTAATGAACTGTAACCCATAGGAAAAAAAATCCATTGTCTACTGATTTAAGTAAATAAATAAACAAATAAATGAGAGAGTTGATACAGCTCTTTCCTGCAGCTGAAATAAATTAATAAATATAAATTAAGATATGTAGAAGAAATGATAAAAATAGAAAATCATCATTTGGCAAATGTCACAGTAATAATTGGGGCAAGTAATAATTGGGGCAAGTCGTTAATAGATATTAAAACAGATAGGCAAATGGATGATTAAAAGCAACATAATGCAAATACATTCAATGTCTTCCCACAAGACACTTATTAATTGTAAATGGAAAATAATGAATTTATGGCAGGCTAACCTGGCAAATATCACTTTAATTATTAAAAGGGATCAAAGTTAATGTCACTAATAATGATATACAATAAATCATGCACCTACTGATAGTACTGGGAGAAGCAAAATATCATTTCTATGATATTCTTACTAAATAACACATAATCTGAATTTAAAGCAAACCCAAATTGAAGGACATTCTACAAAATACTAGCTGGTACTCTTCAAAAGTGTCAACCTCTTTGCAAATCACCTAAGAGGTAAATATACAGAATATATAAATAACTCCTATAACCCAACATCAACAAAAGTCCAGTTTAAAAATGGGCAAAATCAGCTCAGTGCAGTGGCTCATGCCTGTAATCCAAGCACTTGGGAGGCCGAGGCAGGCAGACTGCCTGAGCCCAGGAGTTTAAGACCAGTTTGGGCAACACAGAGTTACCCTTTCTCTAAAATAATAAAAAATGGGCAAAATACTTGAACAGCTATTTCTCTAAAGATACATACGAGTGGCCAACTTGCATATGAAAACATGCTCAACACCACTAATCATTAGAAAAACGCAAATCAAAACCACAATATCACCCCCTATCCATTAGGATGGCTACTATAAAAACAAACAAAATTTGTTTTAAATTTTGAAAATAACAGATGCTGGCAAGGATGCACAGAAATTGGAACTCTTGTGCACCGTTGATGGGATCATAAAATTACCCCATCACTATAAAAAATGGTATGGCGGCTCCTCAAAAAAATAAATAAAATTACCATATGATCTAGCAATCCCATTTCTGGGTATGTATTGAAAATAATTAAAAGTAAGATCCTGAAGAAATACATGCACACCCATGCTCATAGCAGCATTACAGACAATTAGCCAAAAGTAGAAGCAACCCAAATGGCCATGGACAGATAATTAAACAAAAGGTGGCATATACTTGGAATGGAACATTAATCAACCTTTAAAAAGAAGGAAATCATGTCACATGCTACAACATAAATGAACCTTGAGGACATTAGGCTAAGTAAAATAAGCCACACCACACACAAAAAGACAAATACTATATGATTCTACATTTATGAGGTATCTAGAGTAGTTAAATTCATAGAAACAAAAAAGTAGAATGCTGGTTTCCAGGTGCTGGGAAAAGAGGAAAATGGAGAATTACTGTTTAATGAATATAGAGTTTCAGTACTGCAAAATGGGAACATTCTGGAGATCTGCTGCACAACAATGTGAATATACTTAACACTACTGAACTGTATATACAAACACAGTTTTAAAAATTCTGCAGCCTTACGGGCTACCAAAGACAAGGATTCTGAAAGAGGGCAAGCTAAGAAGCTATCACATTGGCCTGAGAAGAAAAAGAGTTCTGTCCAAGAAATGACAAAACTATGTTGCCAGCTATCTCTTTGCTGGAAGTATAGAGACATCTAGGGAGTTAACAATACTTAGACAAATTTCCATGCATGAAGAAGGAAGAGCAACAGAATTCTACATGGTATTGTTGGCCTTATCCCACTAACAACAGAACTCTACAGTAAATTGTGGCAGTACGCACATTATTTTTCAATAGGAAGAAGAATCACTAGGATAAGTTCAAGAGAACTGCCAGAGAGGGTATGGAAGGATGTGATGAAGTGAGAAGTCTCCCAGAAAATTACTATGCTTTGATTATTATGGAAATATCTTTAGTTTAAGAGTGGTCACTTTTGGGGGCCAGATGACACTTCTAATCCCATTTAAACACCCAAAAATATATTTAAAGAAGGTTAAAAAAAAAATGGAGGAGACGCTTAGAGGTATAGGTTCTTTGCAGCCTAGTCTAACTTTTTCTAAGAGACAGAAGAATAACTCACCTACACAGATTGTGGGTAGGGGGCAGGAATTCTTCAGATAAGACTGGTCAATCAATTAGGATTTAGGAAAAATATCCTGAGACAACAAAGGCCTAGGATCAATTCAACAAATTAAGAATCCGAGGACTTGTGTGGAGGAAATCATGATTCAATGAACTGATAGGGTGTTCTAGGTTCTACACAATGTTTGTCCTTTGTATTTCAAGTTCTGCTTACACTAAGGTATTTAAAGCCTATAAAGAAAATATTTCAATAAATAATTTAGAGGAGAAAAAAAAGAGCGCTAAGCTCATAAAAGACAAAAAAAGATTGAAGAATTTTCCCAAAGGGAGTTACAGAGACAATGATAACTACACATATTGTGTCATCTTGGATTTTGAACCAAAAAAGGACATTAGTAGGAGAACTGGCAAAATTTTAATGAAGTATATAAATAGGTTAATAGTATTGTATCAATGCTAATTTTCTGGTGTTGATAACTATGTAATGTACTATGTGCTATTTTATAATATATCACCATTTAGGGCAGTCGAGTAGAGAATATGGAAACATTCTTTTTTTGCAAGCTCTTTAAAATTTAAAAATTAAAAGTTACAAAATAAAATTTTAAAGTATAAAAACAAACAAAATAGGTGATATTCAAGATTTCTCTTTAAAAAGGTAACAATCCTCTTACAAAATTGTGCGAGTACTGGAAAGAGAGCAAAACCATAGATGTGCATGAGATTTTGAAAAAAACTAATGATAAACACTATCATCTGTAAACTTAAAAACTTAGAAAAAATGACAATTTCCTAGAAAAAAATATAATTTACCAAAATAATTCAAAAAATAAAAAACCTAAATAGAAATATAATCATTAAAGGAAACAAATCAGTATTTCAAAAAAATGTAGACAGTCCTCAACTTACAATGGTCAACAGGGTTTTTCTACTTTACAATGGTGAAAAAGCACTGTGCATTCAGTAGAAATCATACTTCGAATTTTTAAATTTTGAACTTTTCTCAAGCTAGTGATATGAGGTATGATACTCTTACAAGAGATACTCAACACTTTATTAGAAAATAGGCTTTGTGTTAGATGATTTTGCCCAATTGTAGGCTAATAAAAGTGTTCTGAGCACATTTAAGGTAGGCTAGGGTAAACTATGATGTTTAGTAGGCTAGATGTATTAAATGCCTTACTGACTTACAATAATTTCAATTTATGATGGACTTATGAGGACATAACCCCACTGTAAGGAGCATCTGTACAGATAAGATGGAGTAGGAACACTCAACTGTAGCTCTCCCACTGAAAACAGCTATAAAATATAGACCAAAAAAAAAAAAAAAAAAGAAGACAGTAGCTATTAGAAGGCTCTTAAAAAGTAAAGAGAGGTTTCCACTCAACATATTAAGAGCTTGGAGGTCCTTACTCCTGTCTTCTTAAGGGGGAGAAAAAAGAAAAAAACTGAACAATCTGAAAATCAACAGCTTTTCTTTAATCCATCAGAGAACTGAGGTTACAAGGCAAATCAGTGCCCAAAAACTGGAAAGACAAGTGAATACAGAGAATCACATCTTATTGGGGCAGAGTTTTACTATAAGCCCTCCATGTTCTCACAGTGAATATCAGAAAAATCTCCTGTTTCCAGCAGGGGAAGGGAAACTACTTTGCCAGAACCTAATCAACATGGGAGAAGAAAAATAACCACTCCAGCCTCTTCTAGCTTTCCTATCTCACCTAAGTAGGGTACAGGAAGCTGAGAAATACTGGTGAAGGTCACATCCTGGGGCATAGGCCCCCCACCAAAAAAATAGGTTTATACTTATCATTAGGTAAATCCAAATCAAAAACACAAGATACCATCTTGTACCAGTCAGGATGACTATTATTAAAAAGTCAAAAAACAATAGATGTTGGCGAGGTTTCAGAGATAAGGGAACATTTATACACTGCTGGTGGGAATGCAAATCAGTTCAGCCATTGTGGAAAACAGTTGAAAGACTCTCGAAGAACTTAAAATAGAAATACTATTCAACCCAGCAATCCCATTGTTGAGTATATACCCAAAAGAATATAAATTGCTTTACCAAAAAGACCCATGCACATGAATGTTCATTGCAGCACCATTCACAATAGCAAAGATCAACCTAGATGTCCATCAATGGTGAACTATATAAAGAAAGTGTGGTACATATACACTACGGAATACTACACAGCCATAAAAAAGAATCAGATCGTGTCCTTTGCCGCAACATGGATGGAGCTGGAGGCCATTGTCCTAAGCAAATTAACACAGGAATAGAAAACTAGATACTGCATGTCCTCACTTATAAGCAGAAGGAAAACACTGAGTACACATGGACACAAAGAAGGGAACAAAAGACAACGGCGCCTACTTAAGGGTATAGGGTAGGAGAAGGGTGAGCACTGAAAAACTACCTAATATGCTGATTACCTAGGTGACAAAATTATCCGTATACCAAACTCCCATGACGCACAATTTACCCATGTAACAAACCTGCCATGTACCACTTGAACTTAAAATAAAATAGGAAAGAAACTAAATAATAAAAATAAAAAGCAGATTTAGTCGTAAGATTATAAAAGGTCTCATATTCTCCCACACCTTACCAGCACATCAACAGTAGACCCACCTTGCAAGAAATGTTTTTAAAAAGCTCTTGAGAGTGAAGGAAAATAATATACCTGTTATTACTCACATCTGCAAAAGAAATGAACCGTGCCAGAGAGGAAATAAATGAAGGTAAAATAAAAGCTTATTTTTTTATTTTAATTGGCAAAAAGTTTATTCAAAATAACCATGTGTTGAGTTATTATAGCTTATGAATAAGTGAAATGAATTACAGCAAGAGACAGGAGAGAATAATTATAAGGTACCTGCACTAATTGTGAAGTAGTATAGTGTTATTTGAAAGTAAACTTTGACTAGTTGTAAATGTTGCCCTGCAAACTCTAAATCAACCACTAAAAATTTCTAAAGAAGAATTGATACTCCAAGAAAGGAGAGAAAACGGAGTCATACAAAATGCTCAATTAAAAACAGAGAAGGCAAAAAAAACAGATAAAAAACCAAGAAAGAACAAGCATAACAAATAGAAAACAGTTACAAATACAGCAGATAATAATGCAAATATACTAACAATCACTTTAAATGTTAATGATCTAAATACACCAATTAAAAGACAGATAGTGACAGAGTAGATTGAAAAAATAAGACAACTATATGATGTCTATAGGAAACCCACTTTAAATATAAAAACGCAGATAAATTAAAAGTAAAGGGACAAAGAAAGATCTATCATGCTAACACAAATCAAAAGAAAGCTACAGTAGCTATACTAATATCAAACAAAGCAGATGTGATGGTTAATACTGAATGTCACCTTGATTGGATTGAAGGATAGAAAGTATTTATCCGGGACCTGTCTGTGAGGGTGTTGCCAAAGGAGATTAGCATTTGAGTCGTGGGCTGGGAAAGGCAGGTCCACCCTTAATCTGGGTGGGCCCAATCTAATCAGCTGCCAAGGTGGCTAGGATAAAAGCAGGCAGAAGAATGTGAAAAGATTAGACTGTCTTAGCCTCCCAGCCTACATCATTCTCCCATGCTGGATGCTTCCTGCCCTCGAACATCCAACTTCAAGTTCTTCAGCTTTGGGACTCAGACTGGTTTCCTTGCTCCTCAGTTTGCAGATGGCCTATTGTGGGACCTTGTGATCATGTGAGTTTAATACTCCTTTATAAATTCCCTTTTATATAAATATAAATATAAATATAAATATAAATATATATATATATATAATCCTATTAGTTCTGCCCCTCTATAGAAGCCTAATACAGCAGACTTAGAACCAGAAAAACAATCAGGAATAAAGAGGGATATTAAATAATAATAAAGGGGTCAATTCTTCAGGAAGACATAATAATCCTTAGTGTGTATATACTACCAACAGAATGTTAAAATACATGAGGTGAAAACTAAGAGAACTGGAAGGAAAAACAGACAAATCCACTGTTATAGCCGGAGACTTAAACACACTTCCATCAGTAATTGACAGATGCAGCAGGCAAAAAGTTAATAAGAATACGGTTGAACTGACAGCACCACCAATCAATGAATTTAACTGGTATTTACAGAATACCTCATCCAACAACAGCAGAATATACATTCTTATCAAGCTCACATAGTATATTCACTAAGACAGAAAACATTCTGGGCCAAAAAACATACCTCAGCAAATTTAAAAGAATAGAAATCATACAAAGTATGTTCTCAGACCAAAATGGAATTAAATTAGAAATTAATGACTAAAAGTCAAAATACGTGGAATTTAAACAATATATGTCTAAATAACACATGGATCCAAAAACTCAAAGTACATTTTAAAAAGTATTTCAAACTAAACGAAAATGAAAACATAATTTCTAAAAATGTAGGGATGCAGCAGAAGTAGTGCTTAAAGGGAAATTTATAGCATTGAATACATATATCTGATTAGGAGAAAGATCTAAAATAAATTATCTAAACTTACATAGTAGAAAATCTAGATGGGTGGGCCTAGATGGGCTAATGGGTGAATTCTACAAACATTTAAAGAAGAAATAATACCAATTCTCTACAATCTCTCCTAGAAAACAGAAGCAAAGGAACATTCAACTAATTCTATAAAACCAGCATCACCCTAATAACAAAACCAGATAAAAACATTAAAAGAAAAAAAACTACAAATCAATATCTCTCATAAAGATGGATAAAAAAATCCTCAACAAAACATTAGCAAATCAAATCCATCAATGCATAAAAAGATTTAAACACCACAACTTAATGGGATTTATTCCAGGTATACAAGGCTGGTTCAGCATTCAAAAATCAATTAACATAATCCAACACATTAATAAGCTACAAAAGAAACATCATATGATCACATTAAAAAACAAAACCATTTGGCAAAATCTAATTCATCATAAAAATTCACAGTAATACTAGAAATAGATAGAAACTTTCTCAACTCGATAAAAAAAATCTACAAATAAAACCATAGCTAAAATTAAACTTACTGCTGAGAAACTAGATGCTTTCATCTTAAGACTGGGAACAAAGCAAGGATGTCTCCTCTCACTTCTATTCAATATCATACTGAAAGTCCTAGCTAATACAATAAAACAAGAAAAGGAAGTAAAAGGTAAACAGATTGCAAAGGAAGAAATAAAACCATCTTTGTTCACATATGACATGATCTTATACATTGAAAATCCAGAAGAATCAAAGAAAAAACTCCTGGACTTAATACATCAGTATGGCAAAGTTGCAGAATACAAATTTAATACACAAAAGTCAGTTTTTTTCTTAAATAACATCAATGAGCAACTGGAATCTGAAATTAAACACAATACCATTTAAATTAGCACCAAAAAAGAAATATTAACACTTAGTTATAAATATAACAAAATACATACAAATGAGGAAAACTACAAACATCTGATGAAAGAAAATCTTCATCATGATATGGAGAGATACATCATGTTCATAAATAGGAAGACTCACTCATATTCTTAAGATGTCAGTCTCCTCAACTTGATATATAAAGTCAAAGCAATACTAATAAAAACACAAGTTATGTTGTGGATATCAACAAATTGATTCTAAAGTTTGTACATAAAGGCAAAAGATCCAGAACAGCAAACACAATACTGAAGAACAAAGTCAGAGGACTTGCACTATTCAAGTTCAAAGCTTTCTATAAACAATAATTAAGAAAATGTGGTACTGCAAAAAAAATAGACAAATAGATCAATGTAATAGATAGCCTAGAAATAGACCCGATATAGTCAAATATAAATAGGCAGTCAATCTTTACAAAAAAGCAAAGGCAATTCAATAGACGAAGTGTAGTCTTTTCAGTAAATGGTACTAGGACTGGACACTCACATGCAAAAATGTGAATCTAGACACTGATCTTTCATAAAAATTAACTCAAAATGGATCATAAACCTAAATGTACAATGCAAAAACGATAAACTTCTGGAAGATAACACAGATGAAAATCTGGGTGACCTAAGGGTAATGAGTTTTTACAGATATAATACCAAAAGCATAATCCATGCAAGAAAAGAACTGTTAAATTGGACTTCATTAACATTAAAAATTTTCTGCTCTGTCAAAGACACTGTTAAGAAAATAATAAGATAAATCACAGTCTGGGAGGAGATATTTGCAAAACATCTGACAAGACATATCAAAAATATACAAAATATTCTTAAAACTCAACAATAAAAAATGAACAACTCATTTTAAAATGAGCAAAATATTTAACAGAAACTTCTAAAAAAAGATGTAAAGGTGTAAAATAAACATACGAAAAGATGCTTAACATCATATATAACCAGGAAATTGCAAATTAAAACAATGAGATACAACTACACATCTATTAGAATGGCTAAAATCCAAAAACACAGACAATGCTAAATGCTGGCAAGGATGCAGCACAACAGGAATTCTCATTCATTGCTGGTGGGAATATAAAATAGTACAGCCACTTTGAAAGACAGTTTAGCAGTTTCTTACAAAGCTAAACACAGTCTTAGTATACAATCCAGGAACTGCACTCCTGGGTATTTACCCAAATGAGTTGAAAGCTATGTTCACACAAAAATCCGCACATAAAACATTTATATCCGCTTTACTCACAACTGACAAAAACTGGAATCCACCCCCAGACATACTTCAACAGGTGAATGGATAAACAAACTGTGATATTATTATTTAGCCATAAAAAGAAATGTGCTATCAAGCCACAAAAAGATATGGAGGAATCTTAAAAACATATAGTTTTGTGAAAGAAGCTAGTCTGAAAAGGTTACATAGTGTAGGATTCTAACTATATGCCATTCTGAAAATGGCAAAACTACAGAAACAGTAAAAAGAGAAAGAGAAGTGGTTGCCTGAGGTTTAGGGGCAGGGAGGAAGACGAATAAACAGGTGTAGCACAAGGCAATTTCAAGGCAGTGAAATTAGTCTGTATGAGACTGTAATGGTGGACACATGATATTATGCATATACCAAAACCCATAAAACTATATAACATAAAACCTGGGCACAGTGGTGCACGTCTGTAACCCCAACTACTTGAGAGGTTGATGTGGGAGGATCACTTGAGCCTAGGAGTTCAAGACCAGCATGGGTAACACACCAAGACTCCATCTCAAGAAAAAACAAATAACAACAAAAAAATTATACAACACAACTAATGAGATCTAGTTTAAATTATGGACTTTAGTGAATAATAATGTATCAATATTGTTTAATAAATTATAACATATTTACCACACTAATTCAAGTTGTTAGTAATAAAGAAAACTATAACAACAGTGGGAGAAAGAGGTAGTATATGAGAATTCTGTACTATCTGCTCAGTTTTCCACAAACCTGAAATTGCTCTAAGAGTCTCCTGATTAAAAATAATACAATAGCAGGTAGATTATGAGAAAAGGTCACAATTCACAGTAGTATCATACTTGAATCAGATATTCCATTTCTTCCCCTCTGGTATCCTTCGGTCAGAACTCAAGGAAGCCCAAACCTTGAAAGTTGACACTGGGGCAAACAAAAAATGCCCCAGTAGAAGCTCTCTAGTTAAGAAGAGTAGGAAATGAATATCCTAAGTCGGAGAGTGCAGAAAATGTCATTATTCTTTTTTCCTATTTTTCACCTTTCGGTTCTTTCCCATCCCAGCACCCAAACAATTCTGTGGTGATGACAGTGGCGGCAGCAGCAGGGACACACAGAGATCTGAAACTCTCAAGGAAGGAAACTTTCCTCTCCAATCAAATGAGTTGTGGTCCCAAAAGAGAGTGGTATCTAATAACTTTTTATACTCTACACCCTCTTGCCATTTTCCGCAGACACAGGTGCATGGCAAGGCACGGTAAATAAAAGCCCAGATTTCTGGTCAGAGAACCTAAAAAGGAGATCCCAGAGAATAAGTACCAAGGAGACCATGGAGGGAGAGAGCTTGGGAACGTCACCACAACAAGTTGTTTATAAACTCCTGGACTCACTCACAAGCTGTGTATACGTGGAGCTAACATTAAACAGCATATACAGACTTCGATAAGTAAACTACCAATACCCAAGTCCCAGGCTGGTCACTGAATGGAACACACATGACCTGAACAATACTTTTGCTATTGAAAACTAAACGAACACTGTACCCCAAACACAGACCTGTTAAAACTTGAAGCCTGAATGCAACCAGGAAGACTATCTGCTAAAACAAAATATCAGTATTCTCTGTTAG